>NW_013171799.1:0-90922 GCF_000001405.40 Homo sapiens
GTATTTATTTTATCTCCATTATACATTTTTGCATTCCTCTCATCTACTTCATTTCTACCATCATTTTCTAGCTCAAATCTTGGTCACCTCTCCCTTTATTATATTAGTCTTCTAATTCATGTCCCCGGTTTCAATTACTCTCTCTTCAAGTCCTCTTTCACAAGACTTCCAGATAAATGCTTTTAACTGCAAATCTGATTATATCACTCCTCTATTCTCCATTGCTGGTATAATAAAGCCAGACATTTGTTTCTCATTTTAACCTGAATTTGAATTCTATCTACCTTCTTATCTTTAATTCGTACTATTCCTCTTTACATATTTGACATGCAAATTTGAAGGAGATAGTCACTCTCTACTAAACCTTGCACTTATTTTCCTCTGGCTTCTTCCTGTACTACCTCTTTGAGCTTTGCTGCATGTCCAAATCTTCCAAGGCCCAATCAAGCTCTTTTACTTGATGGAGTCTCCTCTGGTCCCCTCTCTCTCTCCTTCAAATACTCTCAACATTTTAACATTTACTTAAATATATATACACTTATGTATGTGTATATATATATTTATTTAATATATATTATATATATATTTATTTAATATATATTATATATATTTTATATATATAATATATATATTATATATATAATATATATTTTATATATATAATATATATATTATATATATATATACACACACACACACATACATACACATACCATTCCTATGACAAAAAGAGTCATTATAGGTAATAAATGGTGGGTATTCTAAGTATTATTATCATTTTCATCTATACATGTTTGATATAAAGTGTCTCCTAATAACAGAGCATGGCAGAGATGGCTTACTCTTCACCCAAAATTTCTGCTCCTTCTTCTACAGAATAGAGCTATCTCTGGTAAGGAGCTGCCCAGCCAGGGACTACACTTCCCTTGCCTTTTTGCATCAGTGAGGGACCAACTGACTGGTCTTGCAGTGGAATATGAATATAAGTGATGTATGTCCAGGTGATGGTGATTAAGATGTGGATGTTGCTTTTCTACTCTCTTGTTTCCTTTCTACTGGCTGGAGGCAGAGAACTCTGAGATCTTAGGAAAATTGCAGAACCCCAAGATGGGGAGAGTCTGGGTCTCTGAATCACTATTTGAAGGGAAGTTGTCTATGAAGCAGAAACACCCCCATTATATTCTCAACTGAGAAGGAAATAAACTTTTCTTACATTAAGCCACCAAAATTTGGGAGTTTATTTGTTAGAGAACTTCGTATTATCTTAATGAACAGAATATGCTAAATGCTGAAGGTACCAGGGATAAACAATAGGCAGGTAAAATTTAGAACACAGTCAAAATCTAGCCATTATGAAGATGTAGTTAAAATGTTGAGAGTATTTGAAAGACAGGGAGAGGGGACCAGAGGAGACACCACCAAGTAAAAGAGCTTGATTGGGCCTTGGAAGATTTGGACATGCAGCAAAGCTCAAAGAGGTAGTACAGGAAGAAGCCAGAGGAAAATAACGGCAAGGTTTCAGCAGAGAGGGACTATCTCCTTGAAATTTTCATGTCAAGTATATAAAGGGGAATAGTGAGAATTAAAGATAAGAAGGTAGACAGAATTCAAATTTAGGTTGAAATGAGAAAAAAGAGTCTGGCTTTATTATACCAGCAATGGAGAATAGAGGAGTGATATCATCAGATTTGCAGTTAAAGAAAATTTATCTGAAAGTGTTATGAAAGAGGACTTGAGGAGAGAGTAATTGAACAGGGACATGAATTAGAAGACTAATATAATAAAGGGAGAAGTGACCAAGATATGAGCTAGAAAATGGGAATAGAAATGAAGTAGATGAGATGAATGCAAAATATATAATGGAGATAGAAAAGTAAATACTGTTGGAAATAATATTTAATATATTATTTCCAACACAAAGATATATATAATAAATATAAAATATATTATATAAAATATATAATAAACCTATTATATCACATATTATATATTATTAATATAATATATAATTTATATAATATAAATAAGATATGATATTGTAGATAATATAATCATATTTATTATTTCCAACACAAATAATGTAACGATAATTATAATTTAAAGATAATAGTAATTACTTTTGAGATGAGAAAGGTTTGTTTCATAATATTAAGAAATGGTAATTATAAAAGTGCCAGGTACAGTGGCACACATCTGTAGTCCCAGCTACTTGTGAGGCTGAGGCAAGAGGGTCACTTGAGCCCAGAAGTTTGAGGCTATAGTGCTCTATGATCATGTCTGTGAACAGCCACTGCACTCCAGCTTGGACAACACAGTGAGACCCTGCCTCTAAAAATATTAATAATAATAATAAAAGCAACACTCATTGAGCATTGATTATAAAATGGACGAAGGACTTCACATACAAGGTTACTCAAGTTTATAAGTTGTTGAATGAGGTTTTAAACCCAGACCTACCTGTCTCTAAAGACCATGTTTTATCCATTACTAGTTTAGGCTTTCCTTCGTGTTATAGAGCTAAAATACACAGAACAATAGAAGTTAATATTTAAGGAGTCCTTCCTATTTGCCAGCCTCAAGTTTATACTTTACGTGTATTATGAAATTTAATCTACAACACACACATACACAAACACACACACGCGTATATACATACATAGGTATGTATACTATGTGTACACATACAAATATATGAATATATACATATATCCACATATCTGTGTGTATGTATATTTACATATGTACAGTTTACCCTCCAACAATGTGGGGGCTGGGGATGCTGACCCCCCCACATAGTCATAAGTCCCAATATGATTTTTAACTCCCCACAGACTTAACTGCTAATAGCCTACTGTTGACTGGAAGCCTATTGAAAACATAAACAGTCAATTAACAAGTATTTTGTATGTTACATGTATTATATACTGTATTCTTACAACATAGGAAGCTAGAGAAAAGAAAATATTATTTAGAAAATTATAAGAAAGAGAAAATATATGTACTATTCCTTGAGTGTAAGTGGATCATCATAACAGCCTTCATCCTCATTATTTTCATGTTGAGCAGGCTGAGGAGGAGGAGGACGGCAAAGACAAAGGGCTAGTCTTACTGTCTCAGGGGTGACAGAGGTGGAAGCAAATTCATATATAAGTGGACTCGCACAGTTCAAATGCACGTTGTTCAAGGATCAACAGTATGTATAAGAGAATGATAATCTATAGTGTATATATGTCTGTATATATGTGTATACCATATAGTACCATTATCATGTTCTTTATACAGATGAGGAAACTCAAGCCCAGAGAGACTAACTTATTTTTCAAGGTCTCAGTGAGCAAATGGTTCTGCAAATGTGAACTTCGGCAGCTAGAACACTAAGGACAAAGGTTTGCCACCTGGTAAGTCTTTGGGTTTGCAGTCCCGTGTGTCTCTGCTGACATGAGACCACGAGGTCATTAAGCACCAGAACTGTGCTGCATTCATTATTATATTCCCCGTACCTAACATTGCCTGGCACGCTTCAATAAATACTTGTTGAATGGAACTGACGAAGTTCAGGGAAAATTGTTACCAAAGTAGAACTAGCATTTACAGTCTGTGAGATTAGAGGAGGAGTAACAATTTCTGCCAGAAAAAGAAAACAGCCTGGCATTTCAAGAAGCAAATTAAAGTCCACATGTTTAGTGAACTTCTCAGTGTTTGTCTTCTTGGGAAACTTCTGCATTTCCGGCAGTGGGCCAGCGCTGGAAAACTGCATGCAGTAAGGAGGTCACTCTATCTCACCCAGGCTGTCGAGAACAACCTTATAACCCTCTCATTGTGTACCTCTCAGCCAAACACTGCTCAAAGACTCCAGAAACAGAAAAATGCTTTGATTATATTGGAAGTTTGGGGAATATGTTTGAGAAAGAGTTAAATCCCAGGTCTTCAAAAGTTCATCTTTTATGTTTGAAGCATTAAAAAAAAAATGAGGCCAGTGTGAAGAAGGTCATAAGATTTCTTAATGAGGTGACCTAGATTCATAAGCATAAAATGAATAATTAAGATTTGTGAGGAGGCATTAGGTAATACAAGGCATGGTCATATATAGTATCCAAATTAGACCCAATCCAAATCTTACTTGCTTTTTTTTTTAAGTGAAAGGCAGTGGGTTTGCATTTGGTTGTTGGCTTTTGATTTTGTTGTTGTCATTGTTGCTGTTATGTTTGTTTTCAAAGAACTGCTATTTAAATTTTCTGTGAAGATGGTATATTGTGTTCACACTTTGTTTCTCTTTTCCAAACAATACAACTGACAAAGAAAAATATGCATGTGTGTGGATGCATGCATGCATGTACATGCAAAAAGACATAGGAATAATGGGGGAGAAAAGATGACTTCTATCAGATAAGGAAGGGAACAAAGACACAAATGAGTGAGAGAGAATATAATCAAGGGCCAGGCATGGTAGCTCACGCCTGTAATCCCAGCACTTTGGGAGGCCAAGGCGGATGGATCACTTGAGGTCAGGAATTCGAGACCAGCCTGGCCAACATGGCAAAACCCCATCTCTACTAAAAATACAAAAGTTAGCCAGGTGTGGTGGCACACACCTGTAATCACAGCTACTCAGGAGGCTGAAGCAGGAGAATCACCTGAACCCAGGAAGCAGAGTTTGCAGTGAGCCAAGATCAAACTACTGCCCTCCAGCCTGGATGACAGAGGTAGACTCCATCTCGAAAGAAAAAAAAATACAATTTGAGAAATCGAGAATATAGCCAAGAGCCTCCTGGTCTCTGCACGTGGGGCTCAGCAGTGGGGCAAAGGGTTCAGGTCCCACAGAGTGATTATCATAAAACTTAAGCCATCCAAGATGGACAATCAGGACTAGGCTCACTGCTTAGAGCTAGTGGCTATACATACAGGGTTTTCCCACTTATAAATAAGGGGGAAAATCCCTGCTTCCCAGCTCTACATGGAGCTATGGATTTTAGCAGGCTTCAAACCCAAGAGGGACTGGAGGGCACAGTCACTACCTCACAATTAGAAATGGAACCAAGCTGATTTGGAGCCTGGCTTTACAACATTCCCATTATTGTTGTGTGTGAAACAGGATGTCTGAAATGCTATGGTGAGACCTAGAGACCTATACGGGCCTGAAGGCAAGGGGAAGACAATTTTTAAATCATTGGATAGGACAGAATTAATGTAGATAGAGACAGAAAAGAATGAATAAAATTCTCTCATTTAACCCTAGCCCTATTTCCTAGCCTAACCCTAATAGAACAGAAACCAGGAATCAGAAATGCCAGATACCTCTGACATTGGAGATATAGTGAAACAAAGAATAAAGGTGTGTGTGAGAAGCAGTTCGACTCCTAGGACACCTCATAAACCCCAAATGAGATAACTACTCTCCTCATTTCCACTTACACTCAGGGCCTCAAAAGATGAAGTTTATCACTTGAACCGTGGAATCCAAAGCCTCTGAACTCAGTGATACCAGGTACAGCTGAGGGAAGAGGGCAGAACTAAAAATGCTCAAAAGGAGAGCCCAGCTCCCTTTTTCACTCAACTCCCAGAAGGTCATCATCTAGGTTTATAAGCCCAGGGAGTAGCCTTGAGGATTCTGGACTATTGACCCCATGTGAAAAGACATGTAGTTACTGGACTACTAGTGATTCTGCAAGGAACTAGTTGACTCTCTGCTTGGTACCCAGTAGTGAAGCCCATCATTCAGAAAGTCCTCACCCCACGTGTTGGCCATTCAATGAACTTTTAAGTGCCTCACCTCTCAATATAAATGGACAGCAAAAAAATTGTCAGTTTTTTGAAGAATACTTCCAACATAATAGACAGATGAAAATAATTATTTAGAAGTATCAAAAAACAGAGAAAATGCAGTAAGAATGAAAGTTTTTAAAATGTCTCAAAGAGGTAAAACATAGTACATTCATGAGACAAGAACAAATACCATTTGGACAACAAGGAAAAAAAGAGCTCTTTGAAATTAAAAATATGACAGCAAAAATTTTAAATCCAATGTAGCGTTTGAAAGATAAATCTGAAGAAATCTCCTAGAACCAAAGTCCAAAGAGCTAAAAATAGGAAATTTTTAAAAATAAAGGATCTGTTTGGGAGGACCAACAGCTAAATATTAGGAGTTCCAGAAAGAAAGATTAAACATAGGGAAAGAAATAATAATGAAACAGTACAAGAATTTCCCATGATTAAAGGATATGGGTCTAGAGATTAAAAGACCCCATTGGTGTCTAGCACACTCTAAGCACAAGAAATGAAAACAAACTCTCACCAGGGCATAGTATTATAAAATACGAGAACAGTGAAGGTAAATAAAAGACTTAGGGTCCATACAGGAGAAAAATATACAATTTTACATACTCATGCATCAGAGTGGCACGGAACTTTTTTGCAGGAACACCAGATTCTACAAGACAATGGAGAAATATCTTCAAATGTGAAGAGAGGGGTAGTGATTTTAAACTTAGAAGTCTATACCAGGGAAAACCATCAACCAAATGTGAAGGTCGAAAGAAGAATTTTGCAAACTGGCAATATCTTTAAAAATTATCTGCCATGAATTCTTTATTTTTTAAACCTTTATTTTAGGTTCGAGCTACATGTGAGAGTTTGTTATATACATAATCTCATGTCATGAGAGTTTGTTGTACAGATTATTTCATCACCCAGGTATTAAGCCTAGTACCCAACAGTTATTTTTTTCTGCTCCTCTCACTCCTCGCGCCCCCCACTCTCAAGTAGACCCAGTGTCTGTTGCTCCTGTCCTCGTGTTCATGCCATGAATTCTTATTCAGAAAGAAGATGAAGGGTATGTTCTACCAAACAAAGCCATTAACCTAAAAAGAGAAAGCAAGGAATGAAAAACTAACTTGAACTCCAACCCAGGAGAGATGCAAAGGTAAGGTAATTCTCATGATGATGGTAAAGGATGTCCCCAGTCAACAGCTGCTCTCAAAGATGTAAGGCTTCAAAAAAAACAAAAACCTGTCTTTCTATGTGTGATTATTCCACACACCTCCACCCGTGATATATTGCCTTAATTTCTCTGAATATACTGAAAAAATGATTGCACTGTGTGAGTTTTAGAATGAATTAAGGATAGGTACACGGAAAAAATAGGCAAATAAAGTGAAGAATGTGTTAACTCTAGAGTAAATAATATATAAACTATATGCATATACATACAAACAAAAAAAGTTGATCCTAGTACCTTACCTTGCTCAATGGTGAATATTTACATACTGTAATGTAAATACTTTTTAAAACACAAATGTGATACATCTATATTGGGAGAGGTAGAGATAAGTACCCATCTTCCAAAGTAAACATTAAATAGATACTATCAAAAACAGAAAAAAAATAGCAGCATATTAACGTATACAACTGAAAAACCAAGAAATAGCAATATGTTCATGTTATTTGGAAATATGGAGGTAAATACAAAAAGAAACACTAAAAGATTTGAAATGGGTTGCCTCTGGGTACTGGTAATTTGGAAAGGATCCTAATATTGTAGAACTATTTGACTTTAAAAATATTTTCTCATGATGCTATAAAATCAAATTAAATTTAAAAGGAAAACATAAAAATGTATTAATGTGATGTACTACATTAAAAATATAAATAAAAACAATAGGTACAGGAAAAGCATTCAACATAACAAAATGACAAAATGCTCACTTGTTAATTCCTGACAAAATGCTTATCAAACAAGTAGTAAATATAATTTATTTAACTAAAAATAACTGCAAATGTATTTAATATAATGTATCCTTAGAAGCATTCAAATTAAGTGAAGAAATAAAATAAAGTTGTCTTCTTTTTGACTTCCATTTGAGGCCGTAGACAATGCAATAAGGAAAGAAATAAGAGGTATAAAATTAGAAATGAATAAATTATTATTTCTCCCAGTAAAATTTTCTCATAGAAACCCAAAGATAATTTATAGAACGATTTAGAACTTTTTTAGAAGTTCAGCAAGATTTCTAGATACAAGATCTATATACCAAACTCAATAAGAAATTCTGGCATAAGTGTAAAAATAAAGATCTCTTTTAAAATGTTTATCACATCATGTTTGTAATAAGAAAATGTTAGAAACCACTTAAATGTTCACGAGCAGAAAATTATTAAATTCTGTAATATTATAAACAAAATAAAAATGAACTAGAACTAGATATGTTAAAATGAATAAATCTCAAAATGTAACAAAAAAGTCAAATATTAAAAATAGAACGTTGATATATTTAAATTTGAAAAATACACTACTAATATCTATATGTTAGAATAGTTACAATGTTAGTGTTAGGTTTAATTGCTAGACATAAAGACTGAAGAAATAACAACAAACATGACAGCCTGTTTTTCTCTCATGTAAAAGATATGCAGAGGGATAGACCATACAAGGTTTATATATGGCCAACCCACAAGATAATCAGTCCCAGCATTCTTCCATCTGTCTCTCTGCCCTTCTCAGACAATGTCTTTCATCTCAGGATCCTAGATGCTTGCTATAACTCTAACCATTATATCAAAGTTCCAGTGGCAGGATGGAGAAAGAGGCAAAGGAGATGTTTTTCTTTATTTGTAAGGAGATTTCCTTCTAGTTACACACAACACAACTATCTAATATTAATGGCCAAATCTTAGTACTACAGTATTGCGAGGGCAACTGGGAAACATATTCTTCCCTTTAAAAATCAAGGTTTACCTGTTCCAAAGAAGAGAAGAATAGATTATGGTAAGCGATTAGGTAATGATAAACACCCAATTCACAATAATATTCTAATGGGATTCAGCAATTATCTCTGATGAATGACAACATAAAACGGGATGGAAAAGAAACACAGAGGGGTTCAACTGTACTTCTGATTATTTACTTCTTAATAAATATTATTTGAAGCAAATATTTCAAAAATATTAAGATGACAGTGAGGTGGTAATTTCGTGAATATTTGTCATATTTATTTTTGCTTTCTCTGTATTTTTAACATACCACGTAATTAAAAAATTAACAATGTTCAAATGGTCAATTTTGCACCATTGTTCCTTTATTTTTAAAAAGTAATCTAAGCTTCTATACACATATATACAAAAAACGTAGAATACATAAGCTATACTTAGAAGACACAAGCTTCATTACAAACTCTCTTATATGAGGCTTCAGTTATTTTGACTTTAAAATAAAACCCTAGATTCATCAAATATCTCAAGTTCTGGCTGCCCCTAATAAATCCTTGTTGTTCAGCCAATATCATACTGAATGGGCAAAACCTGGAAGCATTCCCTTTGAAAACTGGCACAAGACAGGGATGCCCTCTCTCACCACTCCTATTCAACATAGTGTTGGAAGTTCTGGCCAGGGCAATTAGGCAGGAGAAGGAAATAAAGGATATTCAATTAGGAAAAAGAGGAAGTCAAATTGTCCCTGTTTGCAGACAACATGATTGTATATCTAGAAAACCCCATTGTCTCAGCCCAAAAGCTCCTTAAGCTGATAAGCAACTTCAGCAAAGTCTCAGGATACAAAATCAATGTACAAAAATCACAAGTATTCTTATACACCAAAAACAGACAGAGAGCCAAATCATGAGTGAACTCCCATTCACAATTGCTTCAAAGAGAATAAAATACCTAGGAATCCAACTTATAAGGGACGTGAAGGACCTCTTCAAGGAGAACTACAAACCACTGCTCAATGAAATAAAAGAGGATACAAACAAATGGAAGAACATTCCATGCTCATGGGTAGGAAGAATCAATATCCTGAAAATGGCCATACTGCCCAAGGTAATTTACAGATTCAATGCCATCTCCATCAACCTACCAATGACTTTCTTCACAGAATTGGAAAAAACTACTTTAAAGTTCATATGGAACCAAAAAAGAGCCCGCATTGCCAAGTCAATCCTAAACCAAAAGAACAAAGCTGGAGGCATCACGCTACCTGACTTCAAACTATACTACAAGGCTACAGTAACCAAAACAGCATGGTACTGGTACCAAAACAGAGATATAGATCAATGGAACAGAACAGAGCCCTCAGAAATAACGCCGCATATCTACAAATATCTGATCTTTGAAAAACCTGAGAATAACAAGCAATGGGGAAAGGATTCCCTATTTAATAAATGATGCTGGGAAAACTGGCTAGCCATATGTAGAAAGCTGGAACTGGATCCCTTCCTTACACCTTATACAAAAATTAATTCAAGATGGATTAAAGACTTACATGTTAGACCCGAAACCATAAAAACCCTAGAAGAAAACCTAGGCATTACCATTCAGGACATAGGCATGGGCAAGGACTTCGTGTCTAAAACACCAAAAACAATGGCAACAAAAGACAAAATTGACAAATGGGATCTAATTAAACTAAAGAGCTTCTGCACAGCAAAAGAAACTACCATCAGAGTGAACGGGCAACCTACAAAATGGGAGAAAATTTTCGCAACCTACTCATCTGACAAAGGGCTGATATTCAGAATCTACAATGAACTCAAACAAATTTACAAGAAAAAAGACAAACAACCCCATCAAAAAGTGGGCGAAGGACATGAACAGACACTTCTCAAAAGAAGACATTTATGCAGCCAAAAAACACATGAAAAAATGCTCACCATCACTGGCCATCAGAGAAATGCAAATCAAAACCGCAATGAGATACCACCTCACACCAGTTAGAATGGCAATCATTAAAAAGTCAGGAAACAGCAGGTGCTGGAGAGGATGTGGAGAAATAGGAACACTTTTACACTGTTGGTGGGACTGTAAACTAGTTCAACCATTGTGGAAGTCAGTGTGGCGATTCCTCAGGGATCTAGAACTAGAAATACCGTTTGACCCAGCCATCCCATTACTGGGTATATACCCAAAGGACTATAAATCATGCTGCTATAAAGACACATGCACACGTATGTTTATTGCGGCACAATTCACAATAGCAAAGACTTGGAACCAACCCAAATGTCCAACAATGATAGACTGGATTAAGAAAATGTGGCACATATACACCATGGAATACTATGCAGCCATAAAAAAGGATGAGTGAATGTCCTTTGTAGGGACATGGATGAAATTGGAAATCATCATTCTCAGTAAACTATCACAAGGACAAAAAACCAAACACTGCATGTTCTCACTCACAGGTGGGAATTGAACAATGAGAACACATGGACACAGGAAGGGGAACATCACACTCTGGGGACTGTGGTGGGGTGGGGGGAGGGGGGAGGGATAGCATTAAGAGATATAGCTAATGCTAAATGACGAGTTAATGGGTGCAGCACACCAGCATGGCACATGTATACATATGTAACTAACCTGCACACTGTGCACATGTACCCTAAAACTCAAAGTATAATAATAAAATAAATAAATAAAATAAATAAATAAAAATAAAAAAATCCTTGTTGTTGTTATTAATCAGCATTAGGTGAACTCCTACTATTAATACATGGAGATAACTGATCACAAGGCTTTCTTCCAAACAATGCGTCACAGAATATACCCTGGGTGTCAACTGCCTAAATTTCTGGTTCTCCATTCAAAGGCTGATGCATTCCCCTATTAATTGAAATTGTAGTTATAGGAAGAAAAGTGGAAATAAGACTCTTCTGATAAGCGTGGAAGACTATGAATACATAATTTCACTCCTCTTTTGACAAAGATCTCTTTAAGTTCAGCCTATGGATCTCTGCTTAGTTGACGCTTCGACCAACAACTTAACCATGAATACCTTTTTTCACTCCTCTTTTGACAAAGATCTGTTTGAGTTCACCCTACAGATCTCTGCTTAGTTGACGCTTCGACCAAGAACTTTATGGTACCCCACCACCACACAAAGATTAAATTAGGTGCTGCGTCTTTTAAACTGCTATGGTGGTCCATAATTGCTTGTATCTTGCACTTCCCTATGCCACCCATTCCATATCCTTCCCTGTACTCTGAATGCCTGATTACTTGTTCATCTGCACCATAAGACCCCAGACTTCCTTGAAAGAAGGTGCACTGTTTGGATCACTGTGGTATTCCCAGCACACAGTCCAGGGCATGGCACATAGGTGTTCAATAAATATTTTTTAAATAAATGAGTAACTGAATGTCAGTCTTCTCTCTTTGGTATTGTCCTAAACACTGTTGTTGCTGCTTAGTCAGGATAAAGACCCTTGTGGTCCAAAGGCTTCCTTTACTACATCTAATTTATACGACTATAAAACACTGTGGAAAGCCCAACTGCCAGAAACTCACCCCTGCATGTTCATTTTACAGTAAGTGCTTTTGGAATTTCCCTCAACAAAAATATCAGAATTTAGAGGTCTCAATTGCTGGGAAAACAATTCCCACTACCAACGGAAGAGTCACCAGACACAGCAACTCACATCATCCTACCGAAGGATTGAGTGTGGATAATGGATTACCGGAATTCCTACGTCATGAAGAGAAATGGCAAAGAACAAAATCTCTGTTCGATGTTCAGGCGCCTCATTCATTTCCTGTTTTTCCAGTAAGTTCACATTAGACACAACCCTTAACCTTTTCAGATCTCATCTCTTGTGGAGACACTGCGTCTTCCCAAAGCATTACAAAATCAGAGCCTGAAGCCTCTCAGACTACACGATTCCTTAACCTTTTCTGGCTCCTACTTCTCAAAATCACACTATTAAAAATTTGGGGTTCCACCCACCTTTTACAAAGAAGGCAATATATTTAAGGAAACCATTGTTATATTTATTAGGTATATTAAGCTTAAGGACTTAAAAATCACAAGACATATTGTTGATAATATTGTTGTTACTGTTCGTAGTGGATTAAATAGTGTTCCTTCAAAATTCATGTCCACACAGAACCTCAGAATGCGATATTTTTAAATACTGTCTTTGAAGATGTAATTAATTCAGGATCTCAAGGTGAAATTATCCTGGATTTAGGGTAGATCCTATGTCCAAAAACTGGTGTCTTTATAAGAAGAGAGGACACAGAGAAACACTCAGGGAAAAGACCATGTGAAAATACAGAGACAGAGATTGGAGTTATGTTGCCACAAGCGAAATAACCCCAGCACCCACTAGAAGCTGGAAGGGTCAAGGAAATTCCTTACCTACAGCCTTCAGAGGAAACATGGCTCTGCTAATACCTTGATTTCAACCTTCTAGCCTCCAGACCTGTGAGAGAGTAAAACTGTTGTTTTACCCAGGTTGTAGTACTTCGTTATGGCAGCCCTAAGAAACTAGTTTGGTTTGAAAACACCAAAACCAGTTGTTTGGTGCAAATAGTAAAAATATTATGTCTATGCAAAACACAATAATAAGAAATAGTGTTATCACTAAGAAGGATATTAGGAAAAAGAAATTCTTTTTTTTTTGAGACGGAGTCTCGCTCTGTCGCCCAGGCTGGAGTGCAGTGGCTGGATCTCGGCTCACTGCAAGCTCCGCCTCCCGGGTTCACGCCATTCTCCTGCCTCAGCCTCCCAAGTAGCTGGGACTACAGGCGCCCGCCACTACGCCCGGCTAATTTTTTGTATTTTTAGTAGAGACGGGGTTTCACCGTTTTAGCCGGGATGGTCTCGATTTCCTGACCTCGTGATCCGCCCGCCTCGGCCTCCCAAAGTGCTGGGATTACAGGCGTGAGCCACCGCGCCCGGCCGGCAAAAGAAATTCTTAAGAAGCATTAGGAAAGCTTGGTTCTACCCACGTCCCACCATCTGTGGTAAGTATGAAACTAAAAAGTTTGTATTAGTTGGATAATCAGTGTTTATCTCAAATGACCAGTAAAAGCAGCCAATTACACAAATAAAACTAGACTAAACATTTCAGAAATTTTTTAAAATAGAGAAAAGGGAATAATCACCCAGCAATTTATTACGCTGTTGGTCAGCACTAGCATTTTGTTGATATTTCCTCCTGGGAGATATTTCTTCCATATCCAATGTTATGTTCAAACTTTAAATATATGTTCTACTTTTAACATTTAGCATTGTAGCAAACCATATTTCTATACTGTTATAAACTCTTTCATAGGCAAAAAAGTCAAACTTTACTGACATACAATTGATAAAATGCTAAATCACATTTTATTGATACCTACATAGATAAAATGTAATCTTTCATTGAGAGGTTCTTACATAATTTACTTCAAGTATTCCCTATTGATGGACATAGACCATCTTCATTGTTTTTTCTACTACAAATAGTTATCCAGTAAATATCTTGTTTTAGAAATTTTAACAATATTTATGATTATTTTCTTAGGATGGGTTCTAAAAAAGTAAAAGGAGAAAAGACTCCTGGGTCAAGTAGTATAAAAATTTTAAAGGCAAAATACTTCCCAAAATACTTTCTAAAAAGAGTATACCGATTCATAATTCAACCAGCAGTGTGTGAAAGTGAGAACAGAAAATGGTAGTCTACATACTGAAATATTTACTAACTTCATAAGCAATAAATGACACATTATTTTAATTTGTATTTTTTAGAGACTGGAATAAAGAAAAACACAAATGCCAATGTTATAACCTAGCAATTCCACTCCTAAATGCATTTATACATCCATCAGTTTACTCCCAGGCATATATCCAGGAGAAATGAGTGGCGTGTTCACCATAGCTCTTTCATTCATAATAGTCAAACACTGGAAACAAACCAAATGTCCATCATCAGCAGAATGTACACATAAATTATGGTATATTCATAAAATGAAATATTACAGAAAGATTTTAAAAAGAACGAACTACTACCACATATCTCACAGGCATCACATTACATGAAAGAAGCCAGAAGCAAAGGAAAAAATACTGTTTAATTTCATTTATATGGAGTTCAAGGTCAGGTAAATGTAGCTCATAGAAATTGAAATCAGAATAGTGATGGAGGAAAGTGAAGAGTGTTGGTATTGACTGGGAAAGGGCACGGAAGTGGCTGTGAGGTATTGGAAAATTTGAATATCTCAGTCTGGGTGGTGCACAGATGAGCATATGCAGGTATAAAAACACACTGCATTTAAAATTAGTTCAATTTATTATGTGATGGTTATACCTTTATGGAAAAGTAAGAATTATAAAAAAAAAAAATAACAAAGTGTGGATTTTGAAGGACACTACAAGTAGATGAACCTACTTGTGAAGGTCCTTTAAGGTAAATGGTTCATTGCTCCATTTACCTTAAAGTGAGAATTGGCTTCTGGATGATATCATGCTTTGCTGTTCGGGGAGTTTGGTAACGAACTCACTGAACTATTTACACATATGTTTGAAGATTACAGAAAACTGGACTTGCGCCCAAAAGACTTAGAAAGTAAAGAAAGTCATCTTAGCAATTACCATCTGGCAAATCTACCACTTCAATTATCATTTAAATAACTCTTTTAGAGACAAATTTTAAGCATAAAAAGAAAAAAAAGCATACTAAAATCTTCAGTAACTGGAGAATGGTACAAACACTGGGAATCAGAACCGCATTCTAAGCCAGGTTCTACAGTAAATGATTTCCGTTAACACCAGACTTCTCTGGATTTCTATCTTTATGTATTTATTTTTTTCAGTCCCTTTCGGTGCCTCCAAATCTTCCACTTGTCTAAATGTTGGTGTGCTTCGGGGCACCATCTCCCTACATAATTGCATATAATTCCATGACTTAAGTACCATATATAAGCCAATGTCTCCCAAATTTCTATCTCCACACCTGACCTCTCACCTAAACTTCATACTCATAAATGAGTCTTGCTTAACATCCTCATTAGATATTTAATAGGCATCTCCAGTTTAAGGCCTTGATTTTCCATACACACTTGAGTCTCCAAAAACTATTCCTCCTCCAATTTCTCCAACTGAGGACAAAGTTAACCATACTGCTCAAAGCCCCCTACCCAGAAATAGAAGAATCATAAAACTGGGAAAGCCCTTTCTCATTTTTGCTTTTAGGGCAAAGTCTCTCCAAACAAGAAGGAAAGCTTCATCAGTGCAAGGAATTTGCTTTTGTTAATTGCTAACATCACCAGTGACTAGAACAATGCCTGGCATGTTTTAGGAACATGACAGGAACACGTAGGATCAATGAATGAATGATATATTGAACATCATAAATTCCTAATTGGAATAATTTCTAATTATATATAAAGAACCATCTTTAGCAGTACTTTCATTTACTCATTGGACTGTTGTGAAGTTCAAATAAATTACTTATAGAAAATGGTTTTTTTGGCAATAAAATGGTAGCTTGCTCTACTAATCTCTGCAGAACAATGGTTTTCCAACTCTGACATTGTCATTTGTAGGTGAAAGTGGGAAGGTTTGTGTTTAAATCTGGACTCTGGATTTAATTGGGGGGACCTTAATTAATTGGACAACCTTGGGTTATGTGCTTAATCTCTCTGACTAGGTACTCACATCCATAAATTGAATATAAGTAAATCTGCCTCACAAGATTGTATTACAAATTACTTTAAATGATACAATATTTATCAGAGTGCCAAACAAGCAGAAGGTCCTCAAAAAATAACAACAAAAACAAAACAAAAAAAAAATGATGACAGCAATTGCCATCCTGACTGGCATGAGATGGTATCTCATTGTGGTTTTGATTTGCATTTCTCTAATGACCAGTGATGTTGGGCTTTTTTTTTTCATATGTTTGTTGGCCGCATGAATGTCTTCTTTTGAGAACTGTCAGTTTATGTCCTTTGCCCAGTTTTCAATGGGGTTGTTTTTTCTTGTAAATTTGTTTAAGTTCCTTGTAGATTCTGGATGTGAAATCTTTGTCAGATGGATAGATTGCAAAAATTTTCTCCTACTCTGTAGGTTGCCTGTTCACTCTGATGATAGTTTCTTTCACTGTGCAGAAGCTTTTTAGTTTAATTAGATCCCATTTGTCAATTTTTGCTTTTGTTGCAATTGCTTTCGGCAATTTCGTCATGAAGTCTTTGCCCGTACATATGTCCTGAATGGTATTGCCTAGAAAAATAGCTAATGCATGCTAGGCTTAATACCTATGTGACAGATTGATAGGTGCAGCAAACCACCATAGCACACGTTTACCTATGTAACAAACCTGCACATCCTGCACATGTACCCCAGAACTTAAGATAAAAATTAAAGAAAAATCATGACAACAACAGAAAAACAGGCACCTATATTTGTGTAAATTAGACCATTATCATGATGTTTCCTTGAGGGGCCAAGTATATTTTTTAAATAATTTTATCAATTTTTGTAAAGTAGTACATATTTACTGTAGAAATGGTGAATCATACCTACAAATAGTTTTTAAATGAAACTTACCTAGAATCCTGTCTCCCAGACAATCACTGCTGACATTTTAGCTATATATTCTTCAAATCTTTCTTTACTTCCTCCCTTCTTTCCCTCCCTCCCCCCTCCCTTCTCTCTCTCTCTCTCTCTCTCTCTCTCTCTCTCTCTCTGTCTCCCTCTCTCTGTCTCTCTCTCGCTGGAGTGCAGTGGTGAGATCATAGCTCACTGCATGCAACCTCCATCCCTTGGGCTCAAGCGATTCTCCCACCTCAGGATCACAGGCGTGCACCACAGTGCTCTGCTAATTTCTGTATTTTCTGTAGAGACAGGGTTTCGCCATGTTTCCCAGACTGGTCTCGAACTCCTGGGCTCAGATGATCCACCTGCCTCAGCCTGCCAAAGTGCCAGGACTACAGGCATGACCTACTTCTTCCAGCCCTTCAAGTCTTTTTAACATATGTATCTGCATGTATGGTGTTTTATCTGTCATTACATTAACAATGTCATCCAAATTCTTAAAGAACATGATTTCTAAAAGCTGTATTTCCTTTTTCTGAGCTCTTATTGATGTTCTGTTGAATTGATTCACATATTTACAACTATTAACAATCATAATATTATTAATAAATTTGGGGGGATTATTTCCATGGGTAAAATTCCTAAATGGAATTAATGAGTGAAATGAAAATCATTGACATTTTTGATACATTTTGCCAAATTTTCTTCCCCCCAAAATTTGCTAATTTACACTAAAATCAGCAGTGTATGACTGCCTATTTCCTTAACTCCTAATGAAAGATTGAATTATAGTGCAGAAAAAAACAGCACAAATACCATTGTGGTAAACAAACAAAAAGTCTTACTATATTTTATTTTTTGTAATATGTAATAATAAAGTTTAATATCAATGTTTTAACAATAATGACTTCATTATATGTGTTAAAATGTATACTGTTATATATTTTTTCAAATACAGATTAAAAATTCCACCACCCAGTCATAGTGTTCGTCAACTCTTTCTTCATACAATTTCAGACATCTCTCTATGGATAAGAAGATGTCAGAACAGGTATGAAGTTAGGGAGGAAAAGGGGGAAGAAGGGTGAAAGAAGACCTTATTAGAGATACAGTGTATCCTCCTTGTTTGTGGATTCCATATTTGTGAATTTGCCTACATGCTAAAATTTGTTTGTAATCCCAAAATCAATACTACTGGAGCTTTTGTGGCCATTCACAGATATGCACACAGTAGCAGAAATTTGAGTCACCTGACAAACACATTCCCAGCTAAGTCAAACCAGGTGATATTCTGCCATTTGGTTTCAGCACTCATACTGTAAATAAGTGTCCTTTGCACAGTCTATTTTGTGCCATGTAATTCCCATTATTGTGCTTCGTGTTGGTGATTTTACTGGTTACGGTGGCTTCGAAGCATAATGCTGAAGTTCCACCTAGTTTTCCAAAGTGCAAGAAGCTATGATGTGAGAAAATACAAGTGTTAGATAAGCTCAATTCAGTCATGAATTATAATGCCGTCAGTCACGGGTTCAATTTAAATGAATCAACAATATATATTAAATAAGGTGCCTTTAAACAGAAACACACATAAAACACACAATTTTGTAATGATCAGTTAATGAAGATGCTGTGATCAGAGGCTCAAAGGAACCTAACCTGAAACATAATTTCCCCCAGGAACAATGGTTGAGTATTCTCTAATTCAGTTTTCCTAGCGACTTTATAGAACACACCAACCATAAATTCTTGAATCTACTGTACTTTAGAAAACTTAGAAATATAAATTTTAATGGATTGTACTATAAATGCTACCATTAATAAAAGTATTAAATTGCATTTATTTGAATTTACAGTAAAGTATAAATCATGTAGAATTAAATTGCTAAAAACCATTCAATTTTCTTCCCAACAAGAAATATCAATTCTTAAATGACCCCTCTAGGTTGCTAAATTTAAAGACATGAATATGGTTGTGAATTTACTAAGAGGCTGGGGTCATTATGTTTTTAAACTATGCTTCAAATTTATATACCATTCATGGATTATTTGACATGAGAATATTAGAATACTTATACTTCCCAACAGACACATCTTCTCTCTACCCCATCCTGAATTTGTTAAATTATTACCATGACATTGTGAAAGCTTATGCCATTTGCATTTGAAGATGTGAACATAAATTCAATAGTTTTTCAGATTTGCTCTACTTTTAAGCTGATTTCCATACTCATCATCAGTGCTTTGACTGCAATTTCTCCATTCCTGAGTTACAACTTTGCAATTATTCTTACTATAAATGATTATTGGAATAGAACTATATTGTTATCTATAGGATGGATGGACACACCTTTGCAACACATACTACACACACACACACACACACACACACACACACACACACACACACACACACCAGAAACCACCCCCAACCCAGGGACCCACTTGCAAGGTACAAATTGGAAGAGACGAAACAACTGCCATTAATGGAAAACCAAACATCATATGTTCTCACTAAGAAGAGGGAGCTAAACTATGAGGATGCAAAGGTATGACACAGTGAACTTTGGGGACTCACAGGGAAAGGGTGGGAAGAAGGTAAAGAATAAAGACTACAAATTGGGTTCAGTGTATACTGCACAGGTGATGGATGCACGAAAATCTCACAGATCACCACTAAAGAAATTACTCATGTAACCAAATACCACCTGTTCCCCAAAGACATATGGAAATAAAAAATTAAAAAACAAAAGAAACAACTGCCTTCCTGTGTGTCATTGATTCTAAGACACATTTTTTTTTCATATTTTATTCTCTTGGAAAATGAGGTGTGCTTTACAATTGATATCATGTCAGAATTTAATTGGCAGTAGTTTTTGTTTCTTAGTTAAAAAAATTAAAAAATCATATTGCATCTTACAATTGATGGCATCTTTGATTTAACAGGATACAGTGGCATAGATCTAAAGGGACAGCCCATGGAGGACATTGGGGGAGCTGTGGATGTGTGGCAGGAATGGAAGAAGTTTGGGTAACTGGGGCAGAAAATGGCAAAGGTGACTGAGTAGGAGGATTCACAGTCAGAGACTGGGAATACCTTAGTCAAAAGATTGTACAAAGGTCAACTTGTCCATTATCATCATCCTCAAATATTTGAAAGGCTGTCATGTGGAAGAAGAAAACATACTTGTTTTGTATGGCTCCTGAGGACAGAATGAGGGCCAGCAAGTCAAGCAAATGATGCTGCGTGGGGATCAAGAAACTCCGAATTTTAGAAATTTGAACTGGCCAGCAATTGGATAAACTTTCTTGTGAGAAAGTGAAATTTATAGAAAGGAGTCAAGAAGAGGCATATGGCTTTAGAGGGTGTCCCTGCCTTAAGTTTGAGGTTTAACAAAGCAACTTCTCTCCGTTTTGAGATTCCTATACTCTAAAAATTCATACCCATTTTAGCCTCCACCAGAAAATAACTTAGGTAAATAATCACAAAGAAGAATAGAGAAATGTGTAGGAAGATGTTAATTGTAGAGGAAGAAAGAGTCAATCAATACATCCATTCATAGGGAAATGTTTCAATAACCACTAAAATCTGATGAAATATAACACAGCTGTTGGAAATGACCATTATGAAGACCATGTACTGGCAAGGAAAGCTGTGTCTGAAAGTCTTGAGAAAATATGACACAAAATTACATCTTTACTGATTATATGTAAAAATATGTAATTTTCTGCATATGGAAAAAACTAGATAGAAATATGGAAGTGAAAACAGGTGATGTTTTTGACTGGCAGAATTCTGGGTTAGTCTTTTTCTCTTTCATTTTAAATTTTGACTATTATTGTGGTTAGCAATTTCAGCAACCCTTGTTGTGGGGGAAGTTAGTTTGTCTTATTTGAGGGATACCAACTGGGACATCTCTGATATGAATAACATGTGCTGTAAACTCCTGGTGCTCATTCCTGAAACACAAAAGATATTTTAAGTTGTTTGGACCTCATTACCTAATAAATAGACCTGTTGGGTGTTTATTTTAGACTAGGGGCCTCATCAAAACATTACTGAGACAATAAAGGCAATGTGAACCAAGGCAATTTTGGAAACCTTTGACATAGCCCCTACACTCAAATAACTCATCATTAGTCTCAAAAGCCAGATCATAAATAAATGAAACTAGCAAAATAGGTCATATAATCTGGATGAGTACAAAATGAGAAGGGAGAATTGGAGTGGGAGAAGAGGGGAAGACAAGTAATTTTGACTGCATGGAAGGCATCAAAAAAAGCTGCACAGGAAGCATGATTTTTAATACTGGTTGTTTTATTTCATCTAAATAATAAATGTTCTTTAAATAAACTAGATTATACTGAGAAAATGGTAATCTTCTGCCCCAGTCACCATCAAAACCCCAGTCCTGCTCCCCAGAGCCAACCTCTTTCAATTGTTGTACCTACTTCTCCTGGTAATTGTTTCCCTATCTTCAAAATAAGATGCTTACACTGCTAAATCTTGTTTTATAAATTTTCAGCCTTTTGTAGTGACTTCCTGTTATAGAACTTAAGGGGTTAGCTTTCTTATGCCATCCTCAACCCACATCCCTCAATTTAATTATATATCAAATACTGGGTGCATCATTATGACTATATAAATGTTGTTTATTACTAAACCATGTAATGTACCATAATTACTTATTCCTTCTCCTAGAACTTATTGTTTTTCCTCGGATTCTTAATACATCCTGGTTTCTGTTAATTTTTTAAATGTACTTACTATTACTTTTGTCCTAAATGCCCCAACGGATCTTTTAAAATCTATCGGTAATTTTTGCACTTGCTGGGCTACAGTTTCAAACACTCTATACGTTTCTGCCTCCTGCCCTCCCTTCTTCGACCCACCCATCCTGCACCCTCTCTCCCACGGCCTACAGTTCTTCTGCTCCTATTGTGGACCCTTTGATCTCCGGGCCAGCTACCTGGCTTTCATGCTAAGCCTTCTTTTCTTCACCCTCCTCCACCCCAGGCATTACATGGCCTGGTTTTTTAATACCACGTCTTTCTCTTCCTTGATTGACTCCCTCATTTTATAAAGAACATTCTTCATTTGCTTCTTAAGAAAAGATGTGTAGTGGGCAAAACGTTTGAGCCTTTCATGTCAGAAAATGTCTGTATACTACTGTGTACCCTCAATCGATAATTTGGCTTAGTATAGAATAGTAGATTGAAAATAATTATCCCTCCAAGTTTTGAAAATATTTCTCTTTTGTTCTAGCATTCAGTGTTGCTGAATGCTAGAACATTCAGAAGCCATTCTGAATTTCCTCTCTCTCTCTCTCTCTCCCTCCCTCCCTCCCTCCCTCCCTCTTTCATCTCAAGTAACTCTTCTAGGGTCTTCTTGTGTATAGTGTGCTGAGTAATTAGGGAACCCGTCAGTGTAGAAGCTCACGTATTTCAGCTGTAAGAGATATTCCTACATTATTCATTTGATTATCTTATCCTTTCCTTTTTCTCTATCTTCTCTTTCTGAAACTCCTAATGTTTAGAGGTGAAGCTTCCTAGATTGAGATTCTAATTTTCTTTCCTTCCTTCTTATTCATCATTATTCCTCTTGTTTTTCAACAAAGTTATTTTCCAAAATTGTATGCACTTTTAAATTTATTTTCTGGGATATGAAATAAAAATATTTTCCCCAAGAGCTCTTTATTGCTCTGATGTTTCTTTTTCCCAAGCTTCCTGTTGTTATTCTAAAGATGCAACAAATTTTCTTGTATTTCTGAAGTTATTAGTGGCAGCTTTTTGAAAATTTTCCTTTGTTCCCAACATTGTCTCTATTTCACTGAATTCCTTTTCCTTGTTGTTTTGTTGATTTGTTTCTTTCATTGGCTGGTTGATATTGTGCGTGTTTTCAGCTCTTTCATGTGGAAAGCCTTCCTCAAAATATCCAGTTATCCTGGATTGTCCGCTTGTTTTTTCAGAGTGAAGCATCAAGTGTTTCATCTGAAGCACTGTAAGCATGGGCAGATACTTAATTGCTGGGTTTTACTCGGGGTAATGAAAGGGCAAGCCATCCTTCCTGATGGAGAGCTCCACATGTCTGTGTCTAAAAATCTCTCTGGGCCCACTTCATTTCTACACAAAATGACCTTCCAATCTGCTGCTGTAGAAGGTGAAGAATAGGACATATGTCTGGCTGCTGGCCTTCTAAAGCAATGGGGGAAGGCTGCTGAGGGTCTCCGAATTTGTTGTATACGTTTTCTTTAATCCCATTTAACCCCATGCCACACTACCTTGCTCTCCCCAGATGTTGGTGTCCCTGAGACCACACTCCCACTAGTTTATTCTCCAAAGAATGACTTTTCTCCAGCATGATAGTAAAGGCAAGGATGTAACCACCTTCTGGCTAGGAAAGGCTTGGAGGAAGCCGCACCCTCAGGGGTCTGCCAGTCACCCTGCTTGAGCCTGTCCCTCCAGCCTTCCACTGATCCTATACTCTTTTTGTAGAGCTTCTCAGGCTCCATGGGCAAGTCATCTGCAGGCATTTAAGGAGGCACTTTCTCCACTCTGCTAAGTTGCTTGCCATGCCTGCATCTGTTTCCTATCTTCAGAAAAGTGGTTGAGCCCTTCCATTCATTATTGTCTCTCCTACTATTCTTTTTATTCTTGAAGATCAATGTCTGTACTTACCTGCCAACAGTTCAAGGGTTTGGGAGGGAGAAGAAGTGACAAGTCTATGTGAATAATGGACTGTGATTAACTGGAAGCCTAATGACAATTAAGAAAACACAAACAATGGAGTCAGCCAAGTGGCGAAACTAGAAAGGGCAGTCTAGGCAGAGTTCTACATCATGGTCTTCTAGTAGACATATAAAATCATCTGTTCATGGGTAGCATCTTTTAGCTGTGGAATACTATGCTACTTCTTTTGAAGTAGCGTAGTATTCAAGTAGCATAGTGTTCAATTTTCAAGCTTAACATATGGAAGGATACAGATTTTATTCCAGGTCTCTCACTAAGCAGTTGTGTATCTATCAGGAACATTTAACTTCTCTGAGCCTCCATTTCCTCATCTGTCAAAAATGGAGAAAAAATTGGACATACTTCATAAGATTTTTGAGCCAATTAAATGAAAAGATGCTTTGTGAGGAGTTTAGCCCTGTGCCTAGCAAAACAGTAAGCACCAATAAACATGAGTTAATGTCATCATCATCATCCTCCAATTATACAAATACACATTAATAGGGAAAATTTGACTAAAAAGACTGGCCAAAATAATTTAGATGAGCAGAAGAAAATTGTTTGAAGAATTAGCAAAAAAGTTACAAAAGACTTACATTGGATTCTGTTTCCTAATAGAAACTAGAGTTATTGAAGGGTTAAACTAAACATGAGTATTTGTGCAAGATGCTATTTAGAACGTACCACACAGTACTTATTAAGTAGTAGCTATTTTGCTATCATTATTATTAAATATAGGCATAGGACAAATAAAGCATCCTGAAAGTTTAGGAGTGGAAAGTTGAAATTAAACTGCAAATGAGAGTGACTGACTGTCAGACTTAAAAACTAGCCCAGAGGCACACTCTGATATTTCAGTCAATCCCTGGAAATAATGTAGGGTCCAACCGAGTTCTCCTATAGCGCTTTGTACTTCCCTTAATGCATATCATTACCTGTTCATGTATTTTCCTCAAGGGACTATAGCTGTGGTTAGGGAAGAACCCAGTTGGTTTAATTCTCCCCTCTATCTCCCCAACATGTAGCACTGTATTTAGCACACACACTTCATAATGATAAATAAAAACTGCCTAAATTATCAAATAAACATTTGCAAGAGCAAGCTTGAGGTGATAGAATGGAAAATAGCTGGTTTGGTATGCCTTTCATTTCATGCTCACGACCTCACAAACCCCCAAATATTCCATATTCTAGTCTTTTTTTTAAAAAAAAATTAAGTTTCTTATCCATAAACTAGGCACATTGAGCAGCACTGAAATAAACAACCCCATTTGACTTCAACTCTTCAGAAGTCTCCAAGGTTGGCAAATCCCACAAGTGCCTGCCCAGCAGTGCTGACACCCTACTTGACAAAAGGGTTAATAGCAAAGCATTTTAGGAAAGGCCTACAGTGCTGACTATATTTGTTTTTAACCAATTTACTTACCAGGCTTTTCTTATTAGCTAAACATCTTGTCACAGATTATTAAAATGAAACAATGGTTGTTGAAACAAATGAAAAAAAGATGCTGTCTGTAATGTCTTGAATTTTACTCTTTGTAGGCCTGCCAATTGTAAGATTCTACAATATTTCCTGTCACCACGGAGAATGAATGGTTTTTTCTGCGTAGTACCCAGGGTTGAAAAGTATCCTAAGACAAAACATCATATTTTAATGATGCTTAAAGTACTTTCACGTGTTTACATCATTTGGTTCTACCCAACAATCCAGTGGGAATAATTCCATTCTTGCAATGGAGAAAAAAGGAGTTAGTGAGGACTAAGTGACTCAAACCAAGGTCGCACAAAGAGTTGAGCATGCAAGACAGCGGAAAAGTAGCCACATAAACAGCAGTCTGGGAGGAAGAGGACTTGGGTTCTTGTCCTGGCCCAAGTCTAATAAGCTAAGCAACCTTGGGCTAGTCATATCATTTCTCTGGGTCTCAGCTTCCCTATTCAGAAAATGAGAAGTTTATATTAAAAGCCTTTCTAGTTCTAATACTCTGAAATTATAGAATCTATCCCCAGATTTTCTGAGCTCTTTCCAAAGTAGTACATGAAGTTGTTCTCTGGGATCAAATTTCAGTCACCAAAGAACCCAATTCCTTCTTATTTCTCAATTTCCAGATGCTTACTTTGAAAGACAACAAATTGTATGCAAATGGATTGAGAAGCAGGCACTATACTAGGCAGTCATGATTCCAAGGTGAAGAGACCTGGTGCCTGCCCTCAAGGAATTTACCGCCTAGGGAAGACACATAACCACCTACAAAGCTATGTCATGGCTGTAGAAATGGAGAGATGACTACAGTGTGCAGAGGAATTAGATAGATGGAAAGATGGATGGATGGATGGATGGATGGACGGATGGATGGATGGATGGATGGATAGAGATAGATAGATTAGATAGATAGATATGATAGATAGATAGATAGATAGATAGATAGATAGATAGATAGATAGACAGACAGAAATATAGATGGATGTAAGCAGGCTCAGCAAGCTCAGGTTGGTCTTTCTTAGAAAGGGATATTTGTGTTGACTCATTAATGGACAGAAATAATACATTGTGATGGTAGATAATAGCTTGTGCAGAGTCAAGAAGGTAGGGGGTGGCATGATGCATCCAGAGAACTGCCAGTCCTTCTGGAGTGTGGATGGTGCAGTGGAAGCAGAGGTGCACACAGTGAGAGGCAGGGCTGGCAAAGGGAGCCGGATGTAGTCATGAATGGCTACCGTTGTTCCATGTGCTGTCACTTTTTAGTCTTGATTTATTTATTTATGTTGTGCCTTGCTCCTGAAAGGATCTGAGGTTGTGTTAGTCCATTCTGCTTTGCTATAAAGTAACATCTGAGGCTGGGTAATTCAGAAAGAAAAGAGGTTTATTTGTCTCATCATTCTGCAGACTTCACAAGCAAAGTAACAGCATCTGCTTAGCTTCTGGTTGGCAGCCTCAGGAAGCTTACAATCATAGCAAAATTTGAAAAGGAGCCAGTGTGTCTCATGGCAAGAGAAGGAACAAAACAGATGCCAGGATCTTTTCAACAACCAGCTCTTGGATGAACTCAGAGTGAGAACTCACTCCAACACTGGGAATCACATTTCAACATGAGATTTGGAGGGCTCAAAACATCCAAACCATATCAGAGGTGGTTTGTTTAAGTGAGAACAACAATAACAAAGCAACAAAACTTCAGACTATCTTAAATAATAAGGAAATACATTTGGCTCAGGAAAAAAGAAACCTAGAAACCAGCTAGACTTGAGGATTTATTAACCTGAAGACTATAACTCAGTTTCTCCATAGTTTTTTGATTGACCCTTACTCAGTGTATTTACTTCCCTCTGACATCCAGTGGTTTGTTTTTCAGTTATAGGAAATGTCTGACTTAGAACCCTAAGAATTTCTCCCTCTTGTGTCTCTGGCCTGAGCTTGATCGATTCATGAATGGAGTCCAGGGGCCTAGCAAGTGCTAACTGTCTTAGACCTGGATTCCTGAATCGCTATGCCAGTTTTGGATGAATTAGCTCCAAACCACTTGCATGAACCTCCAGAGCTGAAGATGGAGCCAGGGTTCCTGAAATCAAGGGTGACAGAAGGAGATGCATCATTAAATGAACACTGGGATAGTTTACTTAGGGCAAATACAATAATGGGTATATAAACAGCAATATCCACTGCACTCACAATAAAATAAAAAATAATACAAACGTTCTGATGCAATGTAATAGTCTTATAGTGTTATTTTATAGTCTATATAGCTCTATAGACTATATAATAACACATAGTACTGCTATATTATAAATAACAAGATAAAGCTGAAGAGATAATAAAGGTAAAATGGTGAGAGGAGAACAATGGGAAAATTACTAGATAGACTCTGAACAGTAAAAGCCCCAACAAATTGATTAAAAATAAAATGGTAGGCTGGGTGCGGTGTCTCACGCCTGCAATCCCAGCACTTTGGGAGGCTGAGGTGGGTGGATCACGAAGTCAGGAGATCAAGACCATCCTGGCTAACATGGTGAAACCCCATCTGTACTAAATATACAAAAAAATTAGCCAGGCATGGTGGCGGGCACCTGTGGTCCCAGCTACTCGGGGGGCTGAGGCAGAAGAATGGCATGAACCCGAGAGGCAGAGCTTGCAGTGAGCAGAGATCACGCCACTGGACTCCAGCCTGGATGACAGAGCAAGACTCCATCTCTAAATAAATAAATAAATAAATAAACAAACAAACAAACAAACAGTAATTTTCTTTTGAGCCTCCTGGCAGCCAAAGCAAAGAAAGAAGAATGATCAGTTAAAGGGGCCACATTATACTTTGGAGGAATAAAGATATTTCTGATCCAGAGTCCTCAGATAAATCATTTTTCCCACAAGTCTTCCTAAAGGGGTCACTGCATGACAATGGAACTGTCAGTAGCATCCCTATGGTGTATGTAACGATGAATTTGAAAACATCTATCAACACTACCACAGATTTAATTTAGTTGCTCTGATATATTTGGTCCAAACCAAGACAATTCTCACATGCTCTGGATTAATCTAAGGATAAAATCTGGGGTGATAAGAGCCATGTCTCTCAAACTGGGGTAGAATTAGAACTACTGGGGACACAACAGGAGGTAAAAGTAGTACATATTCCTTGTGGTAGGAAGGAAATCATTTTGGTTTGGCCTTTTTCTTGATAGAAATAGATTTAAAAGATTACTTTTATATTTAAACCAACATAAATATATTACAGAGTAGAATATAAAAAGCATAAATGCTATGAAAAAGAGAGCATAAAACCTCAATGAAAGGATATCCCAGTTGTGTGGACAGCCTTGAGCTATATACCCAGTCCCCCAGAGGCGTCATCTCATGGTCTTCTACCTTTCAGGTTTGTTCAGGGGAAAGGTTTCAAGACACTTCCCTCTACACTTTCTTCATCTGGCCAACTCCTAGTCATCTCTGATAGCTCCTTGTACTCCTTTGATCATGCCACTCTGTACATTTTGTTGTAGTTATTTGTTTAAAATCTTCCTCCCTTAATAGAATGGCAAGAAATTGGCTACCTTGTCCTCCAGTTCCTGGTGCAGTGTCTGTTTTGGTACAAGAGGCCAATAAATTAATAAGTTAATGAACTAAAGACGTCTGATTGTTATGGGCCGAATTGTTTCCCCTCAAAATTAATATGTTGAAGTCCTAACTCCAGCACTTCAGAATGTGACCTTATGTGGAGTAGGGCCTTTAAAAAAGTAATCAAGCTAAAACAAGGTTATACAGGTGGCCTCAATAAAATATGACTGGTTTCCTTATAAGAAGTGGAGATTTGGACACAGAGACATGCAGAGAAGAAAGATCATATGAAGACATGACCAAGAAGAGAGCCTTGGAATAGACCTTCCCTCACAACCTTCAGAAGGAACCAGCTCTGCCCACACCTTGATCTCAGACTTTCAACCTCCAGAACTGCAAGACCATACATTTCTGTTGTTTCAGTTGCTCACTCTGTGGTACTTTGTTACACAACCCTAGAAAACTAATACACTGATCTTCAAATCCTTCAGACGGCCCTACCTCCCACGAATATAAATGTGAGCCTCTTTCCTTGCTCTCTTGCTCTCCATGCAATGGAATACATACTTCTTTCTCCACAGAAGGAGGAAGGAGGCCCTCAAATCCTTTACAATTTTAAGGCATTTTTTCCTTTAATATTATTATCCAGCAGCCTTCTACAATAGGCAGAAAAATCATGAAGATAGTTTGACTGGAGAGATGACAAATAAGTGCCATTTTAGTTTATAAGGAGAATTAAATTTTTGTGAACTAAACATTCTAATTGGTATCTTAAAATTTTTCATTAAAAAACAATCCTGGTTCATTGAGTTTACTTAGAAACTTTGGCTGTAGTTTACACTTAGAACAAATGGCTTTAATTTCATTATACACTACCAAATCAACCAAGTCATTGTACACGTAAACTTAACCTTCATGTCTTGCAAATATGTGTGTGTGTATTTTTTTCCTGGTGCTTTACTCTAATTTTTATTGTTTAAATTTTTTTCTTTATTGTTTCTCAGTAACTGAGTGTTCCCTAAACCAGACAGAGAAAAAAAAAGGAAAGACATTCTCAATCATGGGACTGAGGCTGTTAGATCCCAGAAATTGTTTTCCAAAGAGTAAATCAGAGTACTTTTCCACTTGAATCACAGTACTTTTCCAGGACTAGCTATAGGATGATCTTGGTACAAATTGATTTGTCGTGACAGAATAGAGAAAATTTAGTGCTATTATTTTCCACAAACCCTTTTGAACACTTTTGCAAGAATATCAAAATGCCAGGTGAACATTGTTTCACTTAACATGACCCAGTGTTAATAATTAAACAGGGCCAAGCATTCTGTAAATATTTAAAGCCCTACTAATATACACTTGGCATCATCTATGAAAAATTCGGGTACCTGCCACACATTTGGAATTCAGGTGTGAATTATAAAGTGCTCAACAAATTTAAAATAACAGAAGGCAAGCCACGGTCACTGCAGGCAGGAGCACTAAGGGTAAGGAGAAGGGCTAATTGACGTCCTAACAACAAATGAGGAAGCAGGAAACCCATAAAAACTGGTCACAAGCATATAAAACCCCAGCATTCATTTTTTATAGAAGCACTGAATATTAAGTGTGCCACAGGCCCCAAGACATTAATGTAATACAACCCAACAGAAGGAGACAAAGTCGCTGCAATGCTCCCTGGAAAGGCAAAGGGATCAGCAACCAGGCACTTGGAAGGCCCCCTGATTAGCCAGGCCACTTGGAAAAGTCATTTAATCTCTCAAAGCTGCTCTTTATCTACAAATAAAAATAATAATTCTGTCATTTCCTACTCTACAGGGTCATGGTGGGGATCAAAAGTAGAAAAGCTGCTGCATAGAATCACTGACTGGATTTCACACCTTGTTCCCTCCTCTCTCTTTTCTTGGCTTCCAGCACCCCACACACCGTCCTGTTTCCCTCTAATGCATTGGCTATTCCTGCTCATACTGCTATGCAGGTTCACTCTTTGATCCCCAAATTTTGGAGTACCCTAGACTTCAGTCCTTATCCTTTTTATCTGGTCTATCAGTAGTCTCTCTTTAGGTAATCTCAAGGTCCTATGTATGATTCCTTTTGCTGATCATTCCCACATTTTTATCTCCAATTTTAATCTTCCTTCTGAATTTCAGACTTACATATGTAACTGTAAACTTGACGTCTTCACTTGATGCCCGATAGGCAGCTCAAACGTTTTATGGCCAAAATAGGCCTATTGATTCTCCACAATCCAACCTCTTATTTTCATCAATCTCATCCTCTCAATTGCTCAAGCCAAAAAAAAAATCTAGGAGTTATCTTAGTTCTTCTCTGTCCTTCATCTCTCACATCCTATGCATCAGCAAGGACTGTCTCTGAAACAGATCTCAAATCTATCCATTTCTCTTCACCACTACTACCATTGCCCTTGTCCAAACCACCATCTTTGCTCATCTGAATGTCCACAGATGACTCTCAACTGGTCCTCATTTTCCTATTAGCCTAGGCAAACCTTTTTTTAACATTTATTATAGCCTTTATACAAACTTAATTTAGTGACATTGTATAAATAAATAATAAATATGCAAAAGATAGTGTTTTTAATTTAAAAATCCACCAAACAATTAAACATACATGTGTATGTAAAAAAATTAAAAATCAATAAAGGCCTAGAAGGATACACACAAAATCTATGATACATTTAACTTCTTCAAAAAAAAAAATTAGGATAAGGATGAAGGACAAAATGGGCTTGACTTTAACTCATAACATTCCCTTCTTTTAAAAAGCATAAGAACTTGGAGCAAACATGTCAGTATGTTAAATGTTGATTGTTGGTCAGATATTTTGATACTCTTCTCTGTAAACTTTTTCTGATTTTTTTCAAAATAAAAAAAGTAAACACAGAAAGGAGAAGATAGAAAACATAAAAAGGACAAGGGTAAAAGGAGGATAGAAAAAGTGTAAAAGGATAATGTCCCTGAGCTAAAAAAAAATGCGTTAAAACTTTAAATATAAAATGTATAAATATATATTTTATATATATACGTATATATACATATACGTATATATATTTTATATATATACGTATATATATACGTATATATATACACATATATACATATAAATACATATATATAAATTTATATGTGTATATATACATATAAATACATATATAAAATGTATAAAAATATAAAATATAAAATAAATATTTAATTTTTAAATAAAAATATAAATATTCTCCACATGTACAGGTGGATAAGTATTTCAATTTTTTGAAAGAGGAACAAAAAGTCTTGCTCTATTTCTAACTGAAATCTTTCTATGTGTCTCCGCACTGTATAAAATCTTGAAAGTATAAATCAAATCATATAATCTATTTAGAGTCTTCCAATGGTGCAACACATTTAGAATCAAATTCAAATTCTTTACCATAATACACAAAGTCCCACCAAATCTGACCTCTAACCATCTCTCCAACTTCCTCTGGCCCCACCATCATCTAGGGGCCAGCCATACCACCTGTCTGTCAATCACAAGTTCTTCCTCACGTGAAGCCCTTCACAGTGGCACCTCATCTACCTGGATTGCACTTCTCCCAGAACTGAATTTGACTGGAAACTTCTTGTCATACGAGTCTTTTCAAATAAGACTGCATCAAGGAGACTTCTCTTGACCAACTGATCTAAAGAAGCCCCCTAACACTCTCAATTATATCACCCCATTATAATTCTCTTCATAACACTGACCACCATCTGATATTTTACCGTGTGTTTATTTATTGGTATTTCTTCATGCATCTTCTTCATCCCCCATCCTTCTCCCAGAACATAAACTCTGTGATTGCAGAGGCTATGTTATATCCTCAGGACCAAGAACTATCATGATCCTCTATAAAGGGTATATTTGTCTCTAGTGCAGCATAACAAATTACCATAATCTTAGTGGCTCCAAACAGCAACCATTTATTAGTCCTGGTCCTTTAGGTCAGAAGTCCATTCACAGCTTGGCTAGGGTCTATGATCTGATGAGAGCACTAAAGGCTGAAATCAAGGTGTTGACTAGGCTAAGTTCTTATCTGGCGGCTCTGGAAAAGAATCTGCTTCCAAGCTCATTCAGAGTATTAGCAAAATCCAGCTTCATTATACTATAAAACTAAGATCTCCATTTCCTTACTGACTGCCAGCCAAGGGTTCCTAGAGGCCACCCACACTCCATATCATCTGGGCCCCTCCATCTTCAGGCTGGCAATTGTGTGGAAAAACCTTCTTATGCTTTCCAATCTGACTTCCTCTTCTATTAACAGCTGGAAAACTCTGTTTTCAAGGACTCTTATGACTCAACAGTGCCCACTTGGATAACTTCCCTATTTTAATGTCAATTGTGCCATATAAAAAAATCCAATCACAAGAGCAAAGTCCACTGTATTAGTCAGGGTTCTCTAGAGGGACAGAACTAATAGGATAGATGTATTTATTTTATTTTATTTTATTTTATTTTACTTTATTTTGAGATGGAGTCTCACTTCTTTGCCCAAGCTGAGTGTAATGGTGCGATCTTGGCTTACTGAAACCTCCGCCTCCCGGGTTCAAGCAATTCTCCTGCCCCAGCCTCCCAAGTAGCTAGGATTGCAGGCATGTGCCAGAATACAGAGCTAATTTTTGGATTTTTAGTAGAGACGGTGTTTCACCATGTTGGCCAGGCTGGTCTCGAACTCTTGACCTCAAGTGATCTGCCTGCCTCGGTTTCCCAAAGTACTGGGATTACAGGCATGAGCCACCACACCTGATAGGATAGATGTATTTAAAAAGGAGAGTTTATTCAGGAGTATTAACTTACACAGTCACAAGGTCCCTCAATAAGCCATCTTCAAGCTGAGGAGCAAAAAAGTCAGTCCGAGTCCCAAAGCTGAAGAACTTGGGACTCTGATGTTCGAGGGCAGGAAACATCCAGCACAGGAGAAAGAGGTAGGCAGGGAGGCTAAGCCAGTCTGGTCTCTCATGTTCTTCTGCTTGCTTTTATTCTGATCATACTGGCAGCTGATTAGATAGTGCCCACACAGATTGAGAGTGGGTCTGCCTTTCCCAGTCCACTGACTCAAATGTTAATCTCCTTGGGCAACACCCTCACAGACACACTCAGGATCAATACTTTGCATCCTTCAATCCAATCAAGTTGACACTCAGTATTAACCATTACAATCCACCATATTCATTGTCCTGGGGATTATGAAAAATATGTGCAACAGTAAGCAGGAAATCTTAGGGCTTGTTTTAGAATGGCCTTTATCTATCTGCCTAAAAGAGAAGGTATTTTAGGCCTGGCGCAGTGGCTCACACCTGTAATCCCAGCACTTTGGGAGGCTGAGGTGGGTGGATCACCTGAGGCCAGGAGTTCGTGACCAGCCTGGCCAACATGGTGAAACCCCGCCTCTACTAAAAAAAATACAAAAATTAGCCAGCCGTGGTAGCACGCACCTGTAATCCCAGCTACTCAGGAGGCTGAGGCAGGAGAATTGCTTGAAACCGGGAGGCGGAGGTTGCAGTGAGCCGAGATGGCGCCACTGCACTCCAGCCTGGGTGACAGAGAGACTGTCTTAAAAAAAAAAGAAAAAGAAAAAGAGAGAGAGAGGGTATTTTATAAACATTGGTGAATGAAAAAAGAATGAGTAACAAAGTAGTTGTCTAAAATCACACATAATCTCACAAATGTTGGCATTAAAGTAATTTAATTCATAAAGAAGTCCTGTGACATCATGAAAAGCTTAAAGTAGGTCTGATTTGCCATGGTTAAGAAGAAAGTCCACAGAAGCAAGAATAGTTGGGAGTGAGGGGGTAGCTCAGAAATATAAACCCTGTTAGCTAATGCAGGCGGTTTAAAATAACAACAACACAGACTAATTGGTAAGGTTTGGTTTTCATTTGACTCAGCTACTTACGAGCTCTGACGTTGAGCAATTTATTTATATATCTAGTTCAGATTTCTTACTTCTTTTTTTTTTTTTTGAGACGGAGTCTCGCTCTGTCACCCGGCCTGGAGTGCAGTGGCGTGATCTCCACTCACTGCAAGCTCCGCCTCCCTGGTTCACACCATTCTCCTGCCTCAGCCTCCCGAGTAGCTGGGACTACAGGCGCCCGCCACTACGCCCGGCTAATTTTTTGTATTTTTAATAGAGACGGGGTTTCATCGTGTTAGCCAGGATGGTCTCGATCTCCTGACCTCGTGATCCCGCCGACTCGGCTTCCCAAAGTGCTGGGATTACAGGTGTGAGCCACCGCGCCCGGCCCGGATTTCTTCCTTCTTAAATGGGCAACCACTCCACAGGTGGTTGTGTGATTTAAATTATTGGATGCATGTTCATTATCTACTACATTATCCAGAGCATCGTAACTACTTGAAGATTGTCATCCATCACTCCGCAAAAATCAGTTATTTTGAATGACAATTCCCAGGTTTGCTTCACCCAGGCAGTCTTTCAGTGGATTTTTGCAGGGTAAGAGTGAAGAGGGTTGTGGTATATTCTAATGTCAGAAAATTAGTCAGAAATATATATTTCTGAATTGAAACTTATTAAATTAAATAATTCTTGGTGTATTACTTAAGAGCTATATTTCTTTCATTCTAAAAGAAAATAGCCTTATTGGGTTCCACAGAAAATATATATATTCTTAGAATTTGAATTGCCTGCTTTACTGACCATGAATATGGTGGATTCTGCTCTTGTGATTAGATTTTTTTATATGGCACAGTTGACCTTAAAATATGGAAATTATCCAAGTGGGTCCTGTTGAGTCACATGAGTCCTCTGAAAATAGAGTTTTCCAGCTGGTAATAGAAGAGAAATATATATTTCTGACTAATTTTGCAACATTGGAACATACCACCGACCCTTTTCACTCTTACCCCACAAAAATCCACTAAAAGACTTTGCCTGGATGAAGCAAATCTGGGAATTGTCATTTGAAATAGCTGATATATATATATTTTTAATATATATATAATATAGATGTAATAATTATATATTTATAATATATATAATTAGTATCTATAATCATATAATATGTAATATATGATTATAGATATTAATTATATAATATATGGTCATATATATATATGTATATATATAATATCAATATTCTTCTTGCAAATGACCTGGACAACTTTCTGAACCTCAATTTGTAGGAAGTTGCCATACTGAAGACTAACAAATTCAGTGTAGTCAGCTTTCCTTTCACTGCTGGAAAGAAATTCTTATTTATTTAGCTAAGTATCATGCAAAGAAATTGAAGATAGTTTAATGAACATATTTTATCAAAAATACCTATCTTTAAATACTGCAATCTCAGCACAGCAAAGAGCTCCTAACCAAAGAGGCAACAGTGCAGTGGAAGTAAATCCCAGCTCTGCCACTTAATAGCTCTTTGGCACTGGACAAGTTAACATAATTTCTCTGTGCTTCAATGTTCTCATCTGCAAAATGGAAACAGTAGTTAATCATATGGCTGATGTAAACACCAAATAATTCAGTATAAATAAAATATTTAGAACATTGTCTGGCATAGAGTAAATGCCATAAATATTTACTGACTAAAATTAGGACTTTAAGGAACATAGAACCTGGCTGAGGGAACAAGGTACCTGCATCTCATGCTCATTCAGTGAACACTCCTAATTCGTAGATGGCACTATTTAAGTTGCTGTTTTCTCCACCACCACCACCACCCCATCTTTTTTTTTCAGATGAGCTGCTGTATCAATTCAGATTTTCTGAGAGGTAGGCACCAAAAAGGGATTAGATAAACAAGAGATTTGATGGGGAAAACACATATGAAAGATAAAGAAAAAGGGAGCAGGAGTGATGAGGAAGAGCTTTCAGATCATAACACAGATTGGATACTTATGCAAGGAGAGGGAGAAAGAAGGATTGGCCAGGAAAAGCTCAGACTACACTGAAGTTCTAAGAAAATCTCAGCCAAACCAATAAGGAGTCAACAAGCAAACACAACACTGCCTGTTAGTGGAATCCCACATTGGGTAGAGAAGGAATGGACCCAGTGCCCCTGCCATACCCAGATGTTGGCTAGAAGAGTCTAGATGACGCACAGCATTGGCAGTTTCAAATGTGAAAGTCTAACAGCTGCCATCAGCTGTGCTTCCCACAAAAGGTCCTCTTAAAAGGGAATCTGAGTGGCACACTTCTATGGTTACTACAGCCCCTGTGATTGCATTTATGCAGGTGAAATGCACACATAACATGATGTCCACTGACCTTTTTTGTTAGGCCATCATTTAAACACCATTTCTGGGAGGTGGGCACCTGGCAGGTATCACTGAACACCCTAATGTCTTTGGGGTATCAGCCAGGAGGAAGCAGCTGAGGCTACTGATGTCTCTCTGATGGGATCTACCTATGGGGAAGACTGATGCATTACTGGTTAAATGTATCTATGGACTGATGACTTGAACGTTTCCCAAGTTTGGCATTTGCTGATCATGGAGTCCAGTACTGAGCAGCCTTCTTTTACATGAAGGCCAATACAGGAATAATATGTATGGATACATACATGTACACATAGGGGTGTATGTGTGTGTGTATTACTTAGAGGCTATATTTCTTTCATTCAAAAAGAAAATAGACTTATTGGGTTTCATAGGAAATATATACATCCTTGGAACTTAAATTGCCTGCTTTATTGAGTAGAAGAATGCCATTAAGAAAGTTGGCACTGCTTTTAAGCCACCAAAATGATTACATCTAGAATTATTTGAAAAACATCAAGAATAAGGCAACTTTCTAAGTTTCTCATCCTGAAATTAGATCACAGGCCACATTTCCAAGCTCAACAGCCCCAGCTGGCTCTCTGGCCTGTGTGTGGACCACATCTCCATAGTATACCTGGTGCTATGAGGAGACCAGGGGCACAGAACAAAAAGACTAAAGGGGCACAGAACAAAAAGACTAAGTGCCACGGCTTGGGAGGACACTGCCTAGTGCACTAAGCTGACAAGGACAAAAGTGCTATAGAGGTGTGTGAAGGCACTAGGCAAATTCAGAGGAGTGAGCCTCAACTCATCGCTATGGGAAGAATAGTGAATAGCTGGGAACTCCAGGTAGGAAGCTGTGCCTTAACGGTGCTGCTGCACACACCTGACATCCAGCTTTTTCCTCATCCTATTCCACATCTTTGCTTCTAGTTTAACCTTGACTCTCCAAGCGCAGATGAGCTTAGTGTGACCCTTGCCACCCCAGTCCCTATCATTTATTTATTCACCAATTTCTTAATCAAGGACATATTGAATACAAAGTGCATTTAGACTACAGTTTGTACTGATCCAAGGTCCCATATACAATATATATCTATATTGTTATATTAATTTGCAGTATTAACTCAAATCACTTAGGGAATAAATAAAATTCCAGCAGTTATAAATTAGCCAGTTTCTCATCTATATTTTGCACAGATGGCATGAAAATTTGAAGGATTGTATTAGTCCATTTTCACACTGCTGATAAATACATACCCAAGACTGGGCAATTTGGGGGAGGCCTCACAATCATGGCAGAAGTTGAGGAGGACCACGTCACATCTTATATGGATGGCGGCAGGCAAAGAGAGAGCTTGTGCAGGGAGACTCCTGTTTTTAAAACCATCAGGTCTCATGAGATCCATTCACTGTAATGAGAACAGCACGGGAAAGACCCGGCCCAATGACTCAATTATCTCCCACTGGGTCCCTCGCACAACATGTGGGAATTATGGAAGCTACTAGATGAGATTTGGGTGAGGACACAGAACCTAACTATATCAACGATTATGAGGTTTGCTGCCAGAATATCAGCACTTACTATGTGTGACCTGAACAAATTTCTGAAACTCATTTTCCTTGCCATAATCTGGAAAATAGAGATAACAATACTTATCTTGCAAAGTACGCATTACATTTCATATGAAAAGAGCAAAGTACAGTGATTGGAATAACATAAAATGAAAGGTAGAAAATAAACTAAGATGTGTAAAAAGGAAATTTAGATTTTTGAAAATAATTTAGAAGTGGGACAAATGCTCCTAAACAAGAAAAAAATCAGGAATCCTAAAGAAAAAGTATAATATATTTGGATACATAAAATAACCTCTATGTGATAAAATACAGCATAAACAAACACAACTGGGCATATCATAGGCCAAGAAAATATAGTCGCCATGAATATAATGAAGATTAATAGCGATTTTTCAAAAGTTTCTGCAAATTAATAAGAAAAATACAACCCCAGAGAAAAATGACGAAATATTATATATCAGCAATTCACAGAATTATAAATAGCCAATAAAGACCGGAAAACATTCTCAGCGTAGCTGCTTCTTAAGTAACACAAATTAAAACAAATAAGTGATTCCATTGTTTTTACTCACCATATGAACACAACAATGTAAATATTTATAACATCCCTTATAGGTAAATATATGGGCAAATGGATGCTTTCATATACTTTTTAAGAGAACATTAAGTCAAGGTGCCTGCTGGTGTAGTAAGCTTCACTATTATGATGCTTGGTTACAAAAAATGGGGGAAAGATAATTTGAACCAATTTAAGTTAAAAAGAAGAAAATTATTACTGTTTACTACTATCATCATAAAGAGATTGAGATATTTCCTGAATCTTAACATTGCTCATGTAGTTTGACTGCAGGAGCACGGAGAACCAGGCACTGAAATTCCATTTGGACTTATCTTGGGGGATAAGTCCATCATCTCTGGGTATGGGCTTCATACTTCTCTCTCTTGGTGCCAACTAACTTTGTCCTTTTGGTGAAAAACAGCAACCAACAAATTCTGAGTTTTAAGTCCTTAATAGCTTCAACCATCAGAAAATTATTGATTCAAGTCACGTTTCCCATGCCCAAAAATTCCAAGAAAGTCAGTCTCTGGCCCTGACTAGATCCAATGAACATTCCTGGACCAATAATTGATGACCTCAGAGATGAGGTTCTATGATTAGCCCAGCTTGATTCTGGAACCCCTCCTGACGCAATCGTTGCATCAGAAGATGAGTTCACATTAACTTGGCTGCTCTCAGCAGAAGGATGAGGGAAGTCATAATTCCCAGAGGAAGGGACTGTTATTCCCAGAAGAAAAACATGCTAGCCAGATACAAAAGAGCTTAAAATATAAAGGCACTCAGTATCCTTTTTAATAAATTAGATAATGAAAAGATAAATTGGTATAATCAATTAATTGGAAGAGGAATTTAGCAATATCTATCAAGACTTTATATAATCTTATGTCCACTAATTCCACTTTTGGTCCTGTATCATAAAACTAACATACATACACAAAAAGTATTAATTTATTAACTTGTTCATCAAATATTTAGTGCATAGTGTGTGCTTACTATTCGAACAGCTGGAATAATAGTAATAAAAAAGATACAATTTTTCTATATTTACATTTGAGTGGAGAACAGAAATTACAAATAAGTGACTGGCACATAACAAACTTTTGTTACTAAGCATTCTGTCCAATTTCAATGTCTAGATGTCATAAACTTACAATATAAATGTATCTTCTGTTTATGATCAGGAGTTTTCAATATTTCAAATCTCCATCTATGATATGTACACTGGCAATTGCAAATGGTGTCATGTTATGTCTAATTTTTACAGAATTGTACACTTTACAAAAAGTTTTCAGTTTTCACATCTACTATCTCATTTCTCTCATGCATCAACACTCTAAATTAGATAAAGGCAGTATTTTTATTGGTTTATCATTGAATCACTTCTCCAGAGCCAAGCAAAATGCAAGGTAAGCACCAAATAAGAATTTGTTAAGGAATCAAAATTAAGAGGCATGGCTAAAACACAGAGGTGCTTAGGTAACATAGCAAGTTATATCTTTGCAGCTGCCATTCCTTCTAGGTTTAAGGACTTTGAAATTGGTTTGGTTTTTAAAAGAAATAATTAAGTATTTTGTTCATGGTATATTCACAAAACAAGAATTGCTCTTGTAAAACTTGGAACAAATAGCAACTGGAATTCAACGTATGGAGCATAGAAAGAAGTTTTGGTAACACCCAGATTTGAGCCTCAGGAGAAATCTAAGACTCATGTTTTAATTTTAATCACATATGTGTGACCTGGACAAGTTATTCTGCCTCTACAAAATGAAGTGATTGTTTCAATTGAATAATTTCTTCTGGCTACAAAATGTGATGATATGTCTACTTTTTCAGCCATGCCTGTTCCATAACTGTGGACCTCAATGGTTGTGTTTTAGTTGACTCTGAAGACGAGGAAATGCACTGTAAAACAAAGCCATTTCAGGCAGCTATGTGTGCAAATGAGTGTTTTAGGCTCCACAAATGAGGTTGCAAACCTAATTATGACAAAGAACAAGCATTAGTTCTGTTACTTAGTTAAATGAGTCAACAGAAGAGAGTTTAAGCCCATTCTCTTTCTTAGAGAAGTCTCATCAAATGCCATGACTTTGCAGATACCTAGGTAAATGCATTGAATGGGAACTACTGAAAAAGAAAGTCTGCTCTTAGGCAATCACTTTGGGCTGAAAATCTAATGACAGAAGTAGTCCTTAGACAGGGTATAACATGATTAGTTATATCCTTCTCAACTACAAAGAATAACAAGCACACATAGTCCCTCACCTAATTTTCATGGCAGGTTCCTGTGGTGGGATATAAATGGGTTTTGGAATGCCATGAACTCAGGTTGAAAATTCTAGCCTTTGCCCTGAATGACATTGGCTAAGCTATAAAACTCCCTTAATCTCAAATTTCTAATCTACAAAATTAGGATAATAATATTTACATTCTGAGATTTAAGTCACAAGTGTATTTAAGCACCTGGTTGAGTCCTGTGACACCAAATAGATGATGAATAAACATTGACATATCACAGTTTGTTTAACCATTCATCTATTAAAAGACATCTGGGTTGTTTCCAGTTCTGCCTATTATAAATAAAACTTCTTTGAATATTTTTGTACAAGTTTCTGTAAAAATAAGCTTTCATTTCCCTGAATAAATCCCTCAAAGTGGAATTGCTGAATGGTATGATAGCTGCATATTTAGTTTATAAAGAAATTGCCAACCTCTTTTCAAGAGTGACTGTGCCACTTTACATACCACCAGCAACACAAATGAGATCCACTCTCTCCACATTCTCAACAGTATTTGGTATTGTCATAATTTTTATTTGTGCCATTCTGATAGGTATGTAGTGATAACTCATCATGGCTTTAATTTTTATTTTGCTATTTGCTAATCAGGTTGTTTGTTTTGAGAGTTCTTTATGTATTTTATATGCTACCCCTTTGTCAGGCAAGTGGTTTCCAAATATTGGGTCTCCAGCTTGTATCTTGTCTTCTCATTCCCTTAGCAGTGTCATTCTGAAGGCAAAAGTTTTTAATTTTGGTGAAGTCCAATTTATTCATTTTCTTCTTTTATGAATCTTACTAATAATGTTATATCTAAGAACCCTTCACGCAAGACTAGGTCATAGAGCTTCTCTCCTATGTTCTCTTCTAAAAGATTACAGTTTTATGTTTTATGTTTAAATACATAATTCATTTTACATTTTTGTATAACATGTGAAGTTTAAGTTGAGGTTCATTTTTATTGCCTATAAATTACAATTGCTTTAGCACCATTTGTTGAAAAAGCTATAATTCCTCCTATGAATTGCTTTTCCATCTTTGTCAAAAATTGCCGAGACCATACACTGGGGAAAGGACAATCTCTTCAGTAAATGGTGCTAGGGAAATTAAATACCCATATGCAGAAGAATGAAACTAGACCCCCATTTTGAACTAAATGTAAGACCCAATATAATAAAACTATTAAAATAAAACAGGGAAATGCTTCAGAAAATTGGTCTGGGAAGATATTTTATGAATAAAACCTGAAAAGCACAGGCAACAAAAACAAAAATAGACAGATGGGATGAAATCAAACTAAAAACCTGCCCACCAAAGGAAATAATCAGCAGAGTGAAAAGACAATCTACAGAATGAGATAAAATATTTGCAAACTATTTATCCTACAAGGGATTAATATTCAGAATATACAAGGAACTCAAACATCTCAACTACAAAAAAAATTTAATTAAAAAATTTAAAAATAATAAAAATCATTTGGGCATATTTATGTAGTCCCTTTGTTTTCATTCTCTATTCTGTCCTTTTGATTTATATGTCTATCCTTCTGCCAATAACATGCAGTCTTGGTTACTATAGCTACATAAGTCTTGAACTTGGGCAGAGTGACTCCTCACACTACATTCTTTTTCACAATTGTTTTAGCTGTTCTAGTTTCCTTGCCTTTCCATACTACTGTTAGAATAATCTTGTCTGCATGCATAAAAAATATAGCTGGAATTTTGATGAGAATCTTATTAAATCTGTTTATCAGTTTGGGGAGAATTGACATTTTTATTATGTTGAGTCTTCCAATCCATAAACATAGTACACCTCTTCATTTATTTAGAAATTCTTTGATTTCTTTCATCAGTATTTTGTAGTTTTCAGCTTGCAATTCCTGTACATATTTTTTATATTTACACCTCAGTATTTAATTTTTGGAGGAATTGTAAATGGTATCATACTTTTAATTTTGATGTCTGTGTTTTCATTGCTGGCATATAGAAATGCAATTAATTTTTGCATGTTTATCTGGTATCCGGTGATCTTTCTGAACTTATGAGTTCTGGGAGAGTTATTAAAATACATTCTTTCAGATTTTCTATGTAGACAACCATGTCTTCTACAAATAGTTAAAGTAGTATTTCTTCCTTTTTGATGTGTGTGTCTTTCTTTTCTTGCCTTAATTGCGACAACTAGAAAGAACTTCAGCATTACGTAGAATAAGAATTATGAAAGCTGACATCATGTCTTTTTCTCAATTTAAGGGGAAAGCATACAGTAATTCATCACTAAGTATAATGCTTCTCAATTTAAGGGGAAAGCATTCAGTAATTCATCACTAAGTATAATGCTAAGCTGTAGATATTTTATATTTTTTTACTCAAGCTGAGAAAGTTATCCTGTATTTCTATTTTTTATGATAGCTTTATAATAAATACACGCTGAATTCTGTCAAATGTTTTTTGTTTTATTTTGTTTTCTTTGCATCAACTAACATGATTGTGTGTTTTTTTTCTTTCTTTCCTCTGGTAATATGGTGGGTTACACTGGCTGGTTCTTCAATATTGAACCAGACTTGCATCCTTGGAATAAATCTATTTTGGTCATGAAGTATAATTATTTTATTTTTATATATTATTGAATTATATTTGTTAGTTTTATAAAATATTTTTGTGTTTATATTCATGAGGGATATTTACCTATAGTTTTATTTATTCTGTACTTCTTTTGAGTTTTCATTTCAAAATACAATTAGCCTCGTAAGTTTAATTAGGAAGTAGTTCTAGTTTGTTTTCTAGAGAGACTAGACTGCACTGAATTGGTATTAGTTCTTCTTCAAATATTTGGTAGAATTCTCCAGTAAAATAATCTGGGACTGGATACTTCTTTTTTGGGAAATGTATTAGTCTATTCTCACACTGCTATAAAGAAGTACCTGAGACTGGTAATTCATGAAGAAAAGAGGTTTAATTGACTCACAATTCCATAGGCTGTACAGGACGCATGGCTTGAAGACCTAAGGAAACTTACAAGTATGGTGGAAGGCAAGGGGAAGAAACACATCTTCACATGTAGGAGCAGGAGGAAGAGAGAGCGAGAGAAGGGGGAAGTGCTACACATTTTCAAACAACCATATCTCATGAGAACTCACTATCATGAGAACAGCAAGGGGGAAATCCTCCCCTCCCCATGATCTAATAGACTCCCACCCGGTTCCTCCCCCAACATCAGGGATTACAATTCAATGAGATTTGGGTGGGGATCAAAGAGTTTTAAAGTTACAAATTCAATTTTTATGAGTTGTTGGGCTATAAAAATTATCTATTTCTTATTGAGTGTGTTGAGAGTTTGCTTTTTGAGGAATTGGTTCATTTTATTTGTTATCAAATGTTTGTATGTGGAGTTGTTCGAATATTCACTTATTATCTAATGTCTTCAGGGTTTGTGGTGATATCAGTTGTTTCATTTTTTTATATTGGTAAATCGCATCTTCTCTTTCTTTTCCTTGTCACTCTTGCTAGAAATTTGCAAGAACCAACTGTTTCTTTTTCTCTCTTTTTCTATTTTTAATTTTGTTAATTTCTACTCTTATCTTTATTATTTCCTTTCTTTTGCCTGCTTTATTTTATTTATTCTTCTTTTAGTTTCTTGAGGTGGAAGCTAAGACTATTAATTTGAAATGTGTCCTGCATTCCAATGTAAGCATTTAGTGCTATAAATTTTTCTCTCAGTACTGCTTTAGCTGCATCCCACAAATTCTGACATGTATTATTTCCATTTTCATTCAGTTCAATGTATTTTTTTATTTCCCTTGAGAGTTCTTCTTTGACTCAAAGGTTATTTAGAAGTAAATTGTCTAGTTTTTAAGTGATTGGAGGTTTTACTGTTATTTTTTAAAATAATTTCTAGTTTGATGTCACTATAGTCAGAGAACATGCTCTGGATGATTTTAATTGTTATAAGTTTGTTGTTGTTCTTTTTATGACTCAGAATATGATTTAACTTGGCATATGTTCCATAGGTGCTTGAAAAAAATTTGTATTCTGTTGTCGATTGAGTGTTCTGTAACTACTGATTATATCCTGTTGTCAATTGAGTGTTCTGTAACTACTGATTATATCCTGTTGTCGATTGAGTGTTCTGTAACTACTGATTACATCCTGTTGGTTCCAGTAGTCTTGTGATATGAATATTAGATCTTTTGATATAGTCACATAAGTCCTGAGTATCTGTTCAATTTTTAAGTTTATTTTCTATTGTTCAGATTGGATAATTTCTATTATTCTTTCTTTCAGTTTACTGATTCTTTTCTGTTCCTTCCATTCAGCTGTTGAGTCCATCCACTGAATTTTTTTATTTGTTATTGCATTTTCTGTTCTAAAATCTGAGTTTCTTTACAGCTTCTACTTCTTTGCTGAAACTACTTTTTTTCATTTGTTTCAAGCATGTTATAATTGCTCATTGAAGCATCTTTATAATAGCTGCTTTAACTTTCTTTTTCAGATAAATGGGACAGGAAAGATAATCAGTACACTGAAAGTGAGAACAATGAAAATTATGCAATCTTAACATACTGAAAAAAAGAGAGACTTGGGGACCTTTATGACTAAAATAAAAGCTCTAACATTCATGTCACTGGAATATGGGAGGGAGAAAAAAGGGAAAGCTGAAAAAATAATGGTTGAAAACTCCTCAAATATTAACATCTCTGTCATCTCAGTGTTGGCATTCGTTGTTATTATTCATTCAAGAGAGATCGTCCTGGTTCTTGGTTTGATGAATCATTTTTGACTGGAATCTGGATATTTTGGGTATTTTGTTAACAAACTCCAGATTTTATTTTAACTTTATACTTTTGTTAGCTATCTATGATATCACTCTGGCAACAGCAGAAGGGGATATTGACTCATTACTTCCAGGTAGAGACAGAAGTCCAGGTTCCTCACTTGGCCCCTGTTGATACCTGAGAACAGGGGGCTCCATGTCACTACTGAGAGGAAGTGGGGGTCTCAGCTCCCCACTAGTCCTCCCCTGATACCACCCTGGATAAAAGTGCAAATGACTCATTACTGCTCCCCACATGTCCTCCAATGTCACTACAGGGATTGTATGGCCTCATTACCACTGAACACTAGCAAAAGTCCAGACTCTTCATTAGGTATCTTCTGACGTCGGCTCAGTAGCGTGAGGGAGTAGAACCTAATTACTGCAGGGTGCAGGTGGAAGTCCAGGTTTACATGTGGTCTCCACTGACATTGTGAGTGGGGGTCTTCATTATTTCTCGGCAAGAATGAAAGTACTAGTTTTCTACTCGGCCTCCTCTAACACCATCCAGCACCATCTAACACCATCCAGGTATGTTTAGGGTGTTGGGGGGAAACACTTTGTTACAGCCTAGCAAGGGTGGAGCTCTAGGCTACCCACTTGGTCTTTGCTGGCATAGCTAATAGCCAGGCCACATTTTTTTTTTCTGTAGTATTTGGCTGGAATAGAATGGTTATTTTCTAAAGCTTCTGTGCTGCTAGACTGCCCTTTTCCTGTTTTGATTGTTTGTTTGTTTGTTTGTTTGACTACAGAGAGCAGGCTTTTGTTGGGGCTTTGTTTGCTGTTTGAACATGTTAGCATTTACAGAGTTCTAGTTTCTCCACCTCCAATTCTGGGATATACAAGGCAAAAAAGGAAACCAAAGGGCCTTACTGTCCCTTGGGTTCCAAGATGCCTAGACAGTTATCCTTCTTTTCTTTACCTTTTGGACTTTTAGATTTTTGTTTTGTATATAATATTCAGGGTTATTCATTGTCCTTAGTGGGAGGAAGAGAGGCAAATAATCTACTCTATCTTCAAGGAGGCAGAGGTTCTAAACATTTATTCTTAATAACATCTTATTACAAAAACACAATTAAATGGCATTGAATGAAACGTTAAAGTAGAATAAAGACTTCCTATAATGTTTAGTAATCTTATTATTGTTATTCCTCACAAGATTAAGATTTGTAGGTGAGTATTGGCCACATTCTTAGCAAAGGCATGTGTATGTATACTCACCTATTTAATTTAAAGGTATTTGTGGTAGGCAGATTGATAACTACGAATATGTGGTTTGATGGTGCTAAGTAAACCAGCCTTCCTCAAATAAATTCTCTCTCTGGCTAGCGTATAGCATTACCAGGCTTAAGCTTTATCCCTTTAACGGGTGTCTATAATACCTGCTGAAATATAATATCCATGGAAAATATATGGTACTACTCTAGAGCCCAATTGTGCTGCATGCTTCCAACCCTTACCAATAGAAAGGAATTAGATACTTAACAGAACCAAACAAATATGAGGACAGCTCCCCAGAACTCCCAAGTATATTCTTTTAGACACAGACACACAGTCATGTACTCATGTACATACCTCTCTGCAACACATAAGTACCTATGTATCTTAAACAACCAAATGGACAAAGAAGATCCAATTTAATCAGCACTTTAGATTATAACTAATATTTATTGACAACTGTTTTGTGTGTTGAATAGGTTACAAGTTGGGTGTAACATGTCTTCCCACTCACTTGAAGAGAGAGAATCTGATTTTCTCTTGTGTCTTTCAGTCATTCGGGAGCTAAGCTCAAAAAGTATTTATTAAGCACTTACTGTGTAACAGACACCATGTTACTAGGGATAAGCATGTATAAGTCACTTCTTTATACTTTCTCTTATTTGATGGCTCTTATACCAAAAATTTGTTTCTGTGAAATTGGCTTTCTTAATCATAAATTTGTAACACGTTTTAGAAACTGCTTTCCCATACATCCACCCATTAATTCTTAAAATAAGGTAGAAAGCTCTATTATTTCTTATATTTAACAAATTAGGGCAGTGAGGTCAAGAAATTTCAGTGTCCTTCCCACCACCACACAACTAGAACTGCAGTGATGTCGTAAATAGTAATCTTCTGGCCCTCCAAGCCCAGAACACTTTCATATCACACCTAGATGCTGCTCACTTTCTGAGAGCTGTTTCCCCCAATGATCTGACCATCTTTGGTTAAGTTCCCACCTTGTGATTGTATTCATTTTCCCAAATCGTACTACTAAACCAATAATTCCAGGAGGATGAAGCTCTTGTTATGATTCATTATACTTTTATACATCTGTCCTTGTTGGCCTTCCCTTATTATTTGTTAATTTCAAAATGGCTGCAATGGATCCAGACTCTGAAAAAGAAATAATCCTTGATGCTCTTCCTTGTTATCAATCGACCTGCCTCTGCCTCTTCCTAGCTCTGTGGTCTCAGCGAAATTAATAATATTCTCTTAGTTGAGGTTTCTTATTTTATTCTATTATTATTATTTTTATTATACTTAAAGTTCTAGGATACATGTGCAGAACGTGCAGGTTTGTTACATAGGTATACACGTGTCATGGTGGTTTGCTTCACCCATCAACCTGTCATCTACCTTAGGTATTTCTCCTAATGCTATCCCTCCCCTAGCCCCCAACCCCCCAAGAGGCCCCGGTGTGTGATATTCCTCTCCCTGTGTCCATGTGTTGAGGTTTCTTATTTGTAATATGGGTGTAATAATGCTTACCTCTCAGGGCTGTTAAAAATATAGAGAATACTCAATGGATTGTGCAAAACTCCTAGGACAGTGTTTGGCAGAGAGCAGGCCCTCCTCTCCTTCCTACTGTATAGCAAACGTCTTGAGAATAGGAACATGTCCACACGGTGTTTTGTACTTAACAGGCATTGGAAACAGATTTGCTGAATGAATGGATAAACAAATATAATACTACAAAAGGATTTTTAATTATTAGTATTACAAAATAACTTTACATACAGCAAGTTGATAATTTTGGCATTCAGTCTTGTAGTACAGTCTACAAGATATATATATATACACCATATATATATATACACATATATATACCATATATATACATATATATACACACATATATATATACACATATATATATACCAGTATATACACTACGTACACTATACATATCTTGTAGACTAAAATGGAATATATGATCATTAATAACACTAAATCTTTTCACTTTAACATGTTTGCCCTATTGTTTATTTAATCTCTGATGTCTGTACCAGCTCCCTGCTACCTGGCTTTATCCTTTCCTGTGAACTAATCATTCACTCATGCATGCAATTAACATTTGCTGACCATTTACTGTCTACCATAAACCAGGGTGCATGATTCATAAGACTCCTCTGTCTCTGCCTCCAAAAGATTTATACACTATGAAAAAAATGCATAAACAATTTATAATTAATGGAGGTGTTATGATAGAAGTACAAAAAAGTGCTATGGTTGTAAGAATGATTCATTTTGCCTAGGGAGTTTGCTTACCAGAGCTTACATGCTAGAAAGTGATTTTTCTCTTTGTAAACTAAATTGAGTTACTGGTAGTAAAAATAGCTTCCATTTGTCTAGTACTTTAAAAGTGCTTTCACATCCATTTCTTCTTTTAATCCTCATAATGAATGCTCTATAGTGTAATGGTTTTCTTTAAGATATATTTGCAAAAAAAAAAAAAAGGATGTTATGAGGCCAGCTGATATGCAACATGGAAATGCATTTGAAATCTCATAGGTAGAAGATAGAAGCCAGAACTGGAACCAGTGTTCAATTGGAACGTTATGGGAATCATTCCAAGAATTTTTGCTATTTTGCTAATAGCAAAGACCAGTTTCTTCACCTTCATCCTCAATGTCATCTCCTCATTTCAAGCCTGACCTACCATCTCGCTTTTGGGTTATTCCGACAGCCTTCTGACTGGATTCTCTGATTTGTATCTCATCTCCCTCCAAACCATTTGCCATATTGGCCACAAAATAATTTTTTAATACAAATTGGACCACATCATTCTCCCATTGAAAGCTGTTTTATGCTATAGAGCTTCACACTCCCTATAGAGTTAAATCCAAATGCTTTCGCATGTTTATAAAACTCTCCATCATCTAAACCTGTCAACTTCTTCAAACTTGTTATTGGTCACTTTCTTCAAACTATACTTACTGATTTTACTCCAAGCCACCATACCATCTCCATTTTTGTGCCTTTATAGATGCAATCTTTGGCCTAGAATGCTTTTAGCTCTCCACCATTCTGTCTGGTACAACGATGGCAGACATACAAAGTGTGGCGATTTTCTTGTTTATAACTAGACATACTTAACAACAATAGCAGAATCTTCACAACATAATTTTCATTCTTGCTTTTTTTCCCTCTTATTTTATTACTACATAAAATAGAGTTTGGGAACCATTAGTCTAGCTTTTTCTCTTAAAATCTCAGGGAAAGATTATTATGTTTTTATTGCATATTAAAGATTCATGACATTTATATTCATTTAACATAGAACTAAAATATCTTCTATTGTGAGCATATTTTGTGCTACATGCTAAGTAACTAGCTGGGGATAAGTCAAACAGGGCATATCTGAGTGTATCATGGATCTCATATTCAAATGAAATAGACAATAAAATAAATAAATGAATTAAATCTTACATATTGGTGAGCAATGCTTCTGAGGAAATAAAAGATGGCCTGAGAAGGAGGACACTTTAGAGTGGACAGCCCATGAAGGTTTCTAGGAGGAAATATATCTTAGATGAAGTTTGAAAGATGAGGAGCCAGCTGTGCAGTTGGGAGAAGAGTCAGCTGGGCTGAGGCAGCTGCAAGCACAGAAACTCTAAGTCAGAACAAAGTTTAGAGTGTTTGAAGACTGAACGACCAGGATAGTTGAGCATGGCGTGTGAGGGGTTGAGTTGATGGTAGAAGATACAGGGCCTTGTAGGCTAGGCCAAGGAAACCACTGGATGACTTTAAAAAAATAAATGATGAACTGGATGCAACACTGGCTACTGGGTAAAGAATGAATTATAAGAGAACAGGAGTGGAAACAAGGGAACGAGTTAGGAGGTTATAGTAAGGTTCTGTCAAGCGATATCGATGGATGGGACTACAGTGGTGGCAGTGGCAATAGAAAGAAACGGATGGATTTGAGATACACTTTGGAGATAAAACGAACAACATCATTTTGGAAGGTAAGGAAGACAAATATAATATGTGTCCTAGCTCTCCGGCATGAAGCCACTGGGTAGACAGTGAACCATTTACTGAGATGGAAAAGACTGAGGAAACAAAAAAAATGGAGGAAAACAGAGCTTCATTTTGCACACGTTATATTTGAGGTACCTCTCAAACATCTGAGGGAAGACATCAAGTAGGTAGTTGAATAAGCAGTTCATACCTCAGAAGGGAGTCCTGAGCTAGATATGCAAACGTGGAAGTTTTAAATATAGAGATGAGGTGAGGTAATGCATTGAATATATTAAATGAAATAATACATAGAAAGTAGCAGACACTCTATTTGGCATAGTAGCAAACATGTGCTCAAAAACAATATTAGCTGTTGGATGCTGCTTGTGGTTAGGACATTCTTCACACAGTGTAACTTAAGTTTTTTTCACTAAGGATAAATGGCTTTTATATTATTTTCTTCTCAATAGAAATATTAACAACCAGTAGGTGTTAAAAGTTACTCACGTATTTGAAAGCTTATTTAGAATGTTTTACATATTGATATGCAGAAGTAAAAAAGATGAAATGAAAAGGTTAATATTAGAAATACATGGCATATATAACAATATATTACATAATATAAAATATATATTGTATATAATAGAAATAGATATATAATTTAGTTTCAAAGGTATTTTTAACAGACCGAATGGAAAATTGGTTAAATTATTGAGATTTTAAGAGTTTTAGCATGTATATACAAATAAATATATTCCAGAATGCTGATAAATTAATTTATGACACAGATTAATTTTAATGCATGGTAGTTACAACTAAGAAAATGTGGTTTTACCTCATACATTGTCTCTGCAATTTACTAGGTGTGTGAACTTGGGCAAATTATATATAACCCCTTGGTTCCTCAATTCCCACATCTGTAAAACACCAATAATTATACCCTATCTAATCATGTTGTCATGTGAAATGACAATAATGTGTATAAAATATATAGTACAGTGCCTGAAGTAAACCATAAATGATTGGTCTGTACAGTGGTTCTCAACCCCAGATGGATATTAGAATCACCTGGGGAGTTTCTTGAATACTGATGTCCAGGCTTCACCTAAAGCAATTACATCTGAATCTCTGGAGGTGGGGCTTAAGCCAATAACAATTTTTTTAAAAATTCATCACATGGGCCAGGTTCAGTGGCTCACACCTGTAATCCCAGCGTTTTGGGAGGCCAAGGCAGGAGGACTGCTGGAGCCCAAAAGTCGAGACCAGCCTGGGCAACATGATGAGGCCTTGACTGTACAAAAAATGTTAAAAATTAGCCAGGCATGGTGGAGTGCACCTAAAGTCCCAGCTACTTGGGAGACTGAAGTAGGAGGATTGCTTGAGCCCAGGAGATCGAGGCTGCAATGAGCCTTGTTCGGGCCACTGCACTCCAGCCTGGGCAACAGAATGAGAACTTGTCACAAAACAAAACGAAAACAAAAACAAAAACAAACAAACAAAAATCTCCCTCACTTTATGATTTCAATGTATATCCAGGGTTGAGAACTACTGATCTATAATAACTATCATGTATCACATATGGGCATGTAATGTTTGTATATGTGAATTATATTAACATAATATAGTGTCATGTCTATTAAACAAGTGGTGAAAAGAAATTAAAAATCTGTCCAGTGATTTAGTTTGAAAAAAATATATAAATTGGAAGAGTAGATAAATGATAATCAGGCCTAAGATCTCTGGAGTAGGTTGCCTGTGCACAATTACCACCTCCCACATTCACTAGCTTATAACTTTGGGCAAGTTACTCGACTACTGTTTCCTTATTTATCAGCTAGGGATAATGAAGATGCCTATCTCTCATTGCATTGTTAGTAAAATGCATATAACATTGTCTGGCATATCACAAGTATTACATATTTATGTTTTGGGAAATTTGATGGAACTGTTGCTGGGAATGTAAATCAGGTTCAACCATTGTGGAAAGCAGTATGGCAATTCCTCAAAGAGCTAAAAACAGAACTACCATTAGACCCAGAAATCCCATTACTGGGTATATACCCAAAAGAATGTAAGTCGTTCTATCATAAAGGCACATGCACGTGTATGTTCACTGCAGCACTATTCACAACAACAAAGACATGGAATCAACCTAACTGCCCATCAATGGTAGACTAAAGAACATGTGGTACATATACACCATGAAATACTATGCAGCCATAAAAAATGAGATCATGTCCTTTGCAGGAACATGGATGGAGCTAGAGGCCATTATCTTTAGCAAACTAACGCAGTCAGAGAAAACCAAATGCCACATATCCTCACTTACAGGTGGGAGCTAAATGATGAGAACACATGGACACATAGAGGGGAACAACAGACCCCTGTATCTACTGGAGAGTGGAGGGTGGGAGGAGGGAAAAGATCAGGAAAAATAACTAATAGGTACTAGGCTCCATACCTCTGAAATAATCTGTACAACAAATCCCCATGACACGAGTTAACCTATGTAACAAACATGCACGTGTACTCCTGAACTTAAAAGATAAAAAAAAGAAATTTGATGAAAATAGGTATTTGGAATGAATATTACCAGTAGTTAATATTCAATCTCAGTAACATACTTTTGCATTAGAACTGAAAAACAGATGCTATACCAAAGGTCTGGGGTAACTGTGAAGAAACATTCTCTAGACCTTATATGAAAGATCAAACGGATCCTCATTTCGTATTAGTTATTTGTCATCATAGAAAATAATAATGTTAATCTTGCCAGGACCTATATAAAACACCATAGAATATGTTAGTAAAAGTATCCAGCATCCCTGAAGCCCTGAATCTCAGATACTAGATGACAAACTGCTGGGAATGTTCAAATTATGTAACCATATACAGGTCCTGTGTTGGGTGCAGGTCCTGGAAGTGGATTTTCAGTGATGAATCCCTGTCTCGACTGGCTTGATTTCCGTTACTTCTCCAGCCTTGTTCAAATGGCCTCACCTCACCCCTTTGCTCCATCTAGGCAACACCCTCTTCCCTTTCTATAACATTTCCTACTATTTGTCTCCTCCAAGGCTTGGCTATTCTTGCCGATACCTCTTTCTAGAATGTTCTTCCCATTTCCCTCTATCTCACCCCCAACCTACACATCTTTTAAGATTCAACTCAAGTACTAAGCTTTTCCAATGAAGCCTTTCCCCAATGCCCCAGGTTGAAGTAACAATTCCCTCTTTTTTACCTGCTTACACCATGAACAGAGGGCCATTTAAAACCATCACTGAGGCCGGGCGCAGTGTCTCATGCCTGTAATCCCAGCATTTTGGGAGGCCAAGGCAGGTGGATCACGAGGTCAGGAGATACAGACCATCCTGGCTAACAGGGTGAAACCCTGTCTGTACTAAAAAATACAAAAAATTAGCCGGTTGTGGTGGCAGGTGCCTGTAGTCCCAGCTACTTGGGAGGCTCAGGCAGGAGAATGGCGTGAACCCGGGAGGCGGAGCTTGCACTGAGCCCAGATGGTGCCTGGGCGACAGAGCAAGACTCCGTCTCAAAAAAAAAAAAAAATCATTGAGTCTCCTTAAAGTCCAGAGCACTAGTCTTATTCATTTATTTATTTATTTACTCATCAGCCCCTGGCACAGAGGCTTGTTTAACTGATTTCATTGACTTAGAGAATGGAAGGAAGGGAGGGAAGGGAAAAAGAAGAAACAACATCCATTTGCAGAGTGTATGACCTAGAGGAAGGACACTAACAATGAGCATGAATGTGTAAATGAAAATCTGCGGCCCCTGGTTTCAATAAGGTCAACAGAAAAACCATGCTGACACTCAGCAATCAGTTTCTCATAAAGTTAATGCAGCATCACATCTCTGCTTCATGGAGAAGCACTGTTCCGGATTTCAGTAAGAATCAGAAGTTTACTTTCAAACACTGAAATTCTCTAGATTTCCATTCTTGTGAATTAACTCCCATCTTTCAAAGATCTTCACTCAGGAGGCTGAAGTGACAGGATCACTTGAGCCTGGAAGGCAGAGGCTGCTGTGAGCTGAGATTACAGCACTGCACTCCATCCCTCCTGGGTGACAGAGGAAGACCCTGTCTCAAAAACAAACAAACAAACAAACCAAAAAATAAGAAAACCAAACACCACATATCCTCACAAAAAACAAAGATATTCTAAACTGTCACCACCTCTTGGAAGTCTTCTCCAGTTTAGTGGAGACAAAATCATGAGATCCACAACAATTTCAGCACAGTAAATTAAGAGCAGGAACTCTGGGATACTGTTACTACTATTAGCTCTGTGGTTTCAGGCAAGCTGCCTAACACCTTTGTGCCTTAGTTCACTCGCCTTTGAAATGAAGACAATAGTAATATTTATCACAGATTTGAAAAGGGTACTGAATGTTCAGAATAATGCCTTGCATATGGAGAGAACTACATAAATGCTAATAGTTTATATTATAAATTGTTAATAGTTAATATTATAAATATGACTATTAGGAGAAAGAGTTACTGAATTTTATTCCTTCCTTCCATCCTTCCCTAAACAAGAAGAATGTAGGTATCTCTGTTTTAATTTCTACAACATTGCTTATTTTATAAGTTAAGGGCCTAAACATATTGGCCATAGAGATAATATACTTTCACCATTCATATGAAAAAACAAGTCTATATTTAACTTACAAAACAGGAGATTTCTCTTCTATAAATCCTTTGTAATATTTGTTGCTTCAGAGTCTATATTAGCAATAGTGAAACTTGGCAAGATAACCAATCTTGTGTAATGGCAGAGAAATGGCAGGACAACCTTGCCTAAGATTTGTAAATTTCAAATAAGGCAGTATCTGTCAGATGTACGGGGACATTTTTTTCTGAACTAAAATGAGCTGAACACAAGTATAAAGCTTAATATCAATCTCATTTTCAGTTCCTTTGAAATCTTTTGTGAGTTGATCCTAGCTAAGAGACTAGACATCAAAAAAAAAAATCTATGTGTGGTAGAGGATTAGGTAAAACAAATGCCTTATACAAGTTGAGAATCCATCATTCTTGTTTCCATTCTCCAATGAAGAGGATAAATCTTATCCTCCTCAGTAAATGAACTACAGAAGGCTCCAAAGAGACTAAAGCCTTTAGACACTATAGGGACCCCTGATGTTATGCCTAAGGAAAAGTTACGGTATGACCTCAGCAAGGATGAAGAAATAACAAGTTAGTAAATTATCTCTGTTTACATTTACAACCAACAAACCAATCATTTCTATACACAGTTTGTACCTAAATTTCAAACATTCTTGATTATTAATAAAAGAGACTATGTTAGAATTCACAAGTAAGTTTGATATCTTGTAGTCTTACCAGAATGAAGTTCCTAAGTCCCTCAAAGAAATATGTTCTGCTAGTTCAAAGGTCTTTCTATGCCTTTTCCACAGTCTCTCTCTCTTTCCAGATTCTTCCTCCAGCCTCCAGCCACCAGCCCAGACATTTTATCTTGTTGAGCAATAGGGCAGACAACTGGATTCACAGGAAACAAGATGGAGTGAACAGAACACAGGAATGTAACTCGGAAGACAGTGGTGATTTTGCCACTTACTGTGTGTCTTCAGGAATATACTTGACATTAGCTTTCATTTACTCACAAATCAAATGTAGATAATAGTATTACCCCCCCCCCCATCTTACAAAGTTACTTTGAGGATACTAGAATTGCTTATGAAAGCAATTCAAAGCTGCAAAGTACTAAACAGAAGTCACTCTGATCCCACTCATTCCATAGCATAGGCTTTAGTACTCAGTGACCTCTGGTTTTAGACTGTCTGAGTTTAAATCCAGGCTCTTACTCATTGTGTCCTTGAATGAGTTCATGCTTCAGTTTCCTTATCTGTAAAATGGGGCTAATAATAGCATCAATTTATAAAGCTATTATGAAGTGTGAAATGGAATGGCACCTATGTGGCACTTAGAACAATGCCTGAAACCTAGAAAATAAGGGGATGATCCAGTCAGTACTTCTTTAAGTGGCTACCTTTTGAGTATAGTGGAGCTTTGAGGATTCCAAAGAATGGATAAGATCTAGCTCATACTCATCTTTGGAGATCTCACAAACTTGTGAAGAGTGGACACTCAGGTAAACAAGTGCTGTGACAGAGATAAAATGAGGCAAAGTACAAGGTACAAATTCATCCCTAACTCCCTCCTCTGCCCTTTGCCCTTATTCTGTTTCCCTGCTTTCCCTAGGTAAGTTTGCCTGATAATCCCATACACTTTCATGGCCTCAGCTATCAACTGCACACCAACAAAAACCAAGATCCATAGACCAAAACCCTACTCTTACTCTCTGATATCTCCACTCAGCTTACTCTTTCCCGCCACTCCTGAACCTGCACCTCTTTTAACTAACCCGTCAAACCTAATAATTGGCCAAACTATGACAATTACATCAGAGAAACATGCCCACTCCTCAACCCCTGTACACATCTACTATATTCACCTTAACTATTGCAGCCACCTCCTAAGTATCTCAGTGCCTCCAGTTTCAATCTCCTTATCTGCAACCCATTCCCCATTCAGCCACCTGAGGGGGTTCTAAATATTTCTGTTAACAACACTCCCTCTAAGAAAAGTTTTGGTAGCTTGCCTTTGCTTGCGGAACAGTGTTGTCTTGGGCCTGCAGCACTCTTAACATACGTCTGAGGCTCCTTTCCGCTCTTATCCTCACTTCCCAGATCTCAACACAAAGAACACTCAGTGTCCTTTTCCAGATGGCATCTGCACCTTCCATTACTCTCCACTTTTGCTCTTACTGGTTATGCTCTCTCAAATGCCCCACCTGCCACCTATCCATCCACTCATCTTCTCCCTTATCCTTCAATGTACAGCTCAAATGTCACCAACTGCACATCATTTGCTCTGCTTAATAAATTCCTCAAGACTTACTGTTCTTTCACATGGATTTGCATATAACATGTAGGTTGAACCATATGAGTTACCAGTTTTTGGTAGGCCAAAATGGTCAATAACTGCACTTTCCAGTACTTGAACTTATAACATGATATGGTCCTCTTACAGCATTTATCCTGCTTCATCAGAACTCTTTCTTTAAGTATATTGCCCATGTACCTTGTCGTCTTCACCTTTCCATGCCCAGTGCCTTGCAGAGTGCCAGGCAAGAAGTAGATGCTCCAGGAAAGTGTGTAGAATTCAAGGTAATTGCTGTGTATGGATCTTAACACTTTGTTGAGCTCTCTTAAGTCTAGGTCCTAATCTTACTCTCATTATCTAGGGACTGCCAAAGGTAAACGTAGCCATCCAGGGCTGTCTGGAAGAGAGTCAGGATTGTAGGTATCCCTTTCCTTTCCCCATTTACATCAAGACCCAGCTCTCTACCTACTAACTAATTACCTAACCTAGGTAGGAAAACATCAGCCTCCTGGGTTGTCCTTTCTTTAGGCAGCAAGTATGTAATTTGCAATACCATTCAGGGCACTTAACACATTAATTCACTCATTCAATCACGGGGCTGTGATTGGTACTAGGAATATAGTAGTAACTAAGGCAACTAGAGACTATGAGTTTGGAGGGTTTTAATCTATTCTTCAAACTTTTTCCCTTAAGAATTACCTAAAGAAACTGAATATTTTCCAAAACATAGCTTGCATATTTGAACACTTTTAAATGTCTTATACATACATTTTAAGTCCTCTAAAAATATTATAAGTTGAAATAATTGTTGCAAAGGATGTAATTTCAGTATATATTTTATTTTGTCACTTTAAATTACTATTATTTTTAATGTATTTAATGAAATCTGAATATCATAACAATCTGATACCCATGACTATCTTTTTTTAATGAGAAAGATGTTTTAATTTAAAAATTTTAGATTTTTTTCTCTTTGAACTCATATTTGCATTATACTTTGCCCTTGAATTTTATACATTTATAAAAAATCAAAACTGTGGTCCTTCATATTTAGATCAATTTATGGAACATGTGTACTACATATATTGGCAAACCAGTAAGCCAAATTGAACTTTCCCTCCAGAAAAATCCTGCCTCTATTTTTCAATTCAAACAAATGTGTTAATTTGCATTGCAAAAAATATTATTAAAACATTGAGGCTGGGTGCGATGGCTCACACCTGTAATTCCAACACTTTGGGAGGCCGAGGCAGGCATATCACTTGAGGTCAGGAGTTTGAGACAAGCCTGACCAACATGGCAAAACCTTGTCTCCGTTAAAAATACAAAAATTAGCTGGGCGTGGTGTTGGGCGCCTGTAATCCCAGCTACGCAGGATGCTGAGGCAGGAGAATTGCTTGAACTCAGGAGGCGGAGGTTGCAGTGAGCCAAGATCACACCACTGCCCTCCAGCCTGGGCAACAGAGCAAGACTCCATCTCACAAACAAAAAACAACAAAACCCACAGAACACTGAGAAATATGTTACAAAATGAATCCTATAAGACAGATTATGAAAGGACGTCAAACTTAATATAGATCTAATACAAGTAATGCATCTCATCAATTATAAAAGGAATATAAATTAATATGATAATCCTTATCAGCTAATTTTTAATAAAGCAATGAATGTACAATTTATCAAATAATGACTATATCATTCCTCTAATAAAAATGCGTATCCCTCTCCAGTCAAAAGACAGAGAATGCAGAATGAAGCAAACACAATTCAATCATAAGCCATCTACAATAGACACACTAGATTCAAAGATATAAGTAAGTCCAAAGTGAAAAGATAGAAAATTGTATACCATACAAACAGTATCCAAAAGAGAAGTGGAGTGGCTATACTAGTATCAGACAAAAGGGCTTTAAGACAAGATTTGTTACTAGAGTCAAAAAAAGACATAGTGATAAAAGGGTCAATTCATCAGGAAGACAAACAATAAAAACATAAATGCACCTAACAACAGAACCTCCTAAAACATGAATTCAAATACATAAGTTGAAAGGAGAAATAGACATTTAACAATAATAATTGGAAACATCAATAACCTGCTTCCAATAATGGCTGAAGACTTGAACAACACTATAAACTAACTAGATGTAACATATCTGTAGAAAACTCTAAAAATAGCAGAGCATACATTCTTCTCAAGTATGCAGTGAAAATTCTCCGTGATAAAGCGTATGTTAAAAGGCCATAAAAAGAAACCTCAATAAATTTAAAGACTGTTAAATCACACAAAGGATGTTCTTTGACCATCACGGAATAGATTTAAAAGTCACAATAACAAATACATTTGGAAAACACAAATATGTAAAAAGTAATCTAAACACTTTTAAATAACAAATGGTTTTAAAATGTACAAGGCAAATTAGAAAATTATTTGAGATTAATGAGATCAAAAATACAACATACCAAAACTTATTAGGTGCAGCTTAAGCAGCAATCAGAGAGAAATTTGTAGCTGTAATGCTTATTATGAAAAGAAGGAAGAGCTCAAATTAATAATCTAAACTTCTATCTTTCAAAACTACCAAAGAAGAATAAACTAAAACCAAAGCAAGCAGAATAAATAACATTATAAATATTAAAGCACAAATAAACGAAATAGATAACAAATAGCGAACATCAATGAAATCAAAAGTTACTTATTTAAAAAAATCAATAAAATTAATGAACACTTAGTGAGGCTGAACAAGAAAAGAGGAATCAAAATATTAAAATCAGGAATAAAAAAGGGGACCTCAGCATCAACCTCATAGAAATAAAAAGGATTAGAAGAGAACATTACAGACAGGATGCAGTGGCTCACATCTATAATTCCAGCACTTTGGGAGGCCAAGGCAGGAGGATCACTTGAAGCCAGGAATTTGAGACCAGCCCAGCAACAAATTAATTTAAAAAAAAAATAAGTAAATAATAACTTTTTAAAAAAGAGAATGCCATTAACAATTGTATATCAACAAATTAGAAAGCCTAGATAAAATAAACAAATTCCCAAACACCAACAACTCATACTAAAATAAGAAGAAATGAAAAGTCTGAATAGACTTATAACAAACACAAATTGAATTAACAATTTTTAAACTTTCCACAAGGAAAGTCTAGGCCCAAATGGCTTTACTCGTCAATTCTACCACAAACTTAAAGAAGAATTAATATCAATACTTCACACACTCTTAACAAAAAAATTACAAGAATACTTCCCAACTCATTCTATGAGACTAGTATTAGTTACTCTAATACCAAAAACAGCACAAGAAAAAAAACACCACAAGCTGATAACCCCCATAAACATACATGCCAATATTCTCAACAAATTACTTGCAATCCAAATCCAATAACATATAAAAAGGATTATACACCATAACCAAATGAAATGTATCCCAGGAATACAAGGTTGGCTTAAAATATGAAAATCAACCAATTTAATATACTAAATACACTAAACCATAAAACTACAATCATCTTAATAGATGGAGAAAAGCAGTAAAGTGGTGATAACTTGTATATCAATTGCATGGTGAAATAATAATAATTTGCATATATTGATTTAAATAAAATACATTACTCAAGTTAATTTCACTTGTATCTTTTTAATTTTTAAAATGTGGCTAGTGCACACCTTAATTCCAGCAGTTTGGGAGGCCAAAGCAGGAAGCTAGCTTGAGTACAGGAGTTGGAGACCAGCCTGGGCAACACAGCAAGACTTCATCTCTACAAAAACTTTTTTTTAAAAATTAGTTATGCATTGCAGTGTACGTCTGTAGTCCTAGCTACTTGGGAAGCTGAGGTGGGAGGCTGCAATGAGCTATGATCACACCACTGCACTCTAGCTTGGGCAACTGAGCCACACCCTGTCTGTAAAAAATAAAATGTGGCTACTAGAAAAGTTCACATTACATATATAGCTCACATTTATGGCTTGTGTTGTATTTCTATTGGACCACAATGGTCTAGGCATATCCTAGTTTGAAGATCAGTGCTCTAACAGCATTTGGTGTTTTCAAACATATTTCTCTATGTTATTTATCAGATGAGAAATCAGAGAATGAGGATGGTTAACATGCCCAGGTAAACATAACCTTCCCCATAGGTGTCAGAACTGGTAGTGGGATTCAGTAATATCCTTAAAGTCAGAGTTTGCCCTAATTGCATAACTGGTCTCTGGTCTTTCTTAGAGGTACAAAATAGTCATTGAATATGTTTAACATTTAAGTTTCAGAAATTTTTTATGTTTTCCAGATCCAAGAGGAATTTAGCTTTTTTTTTTTCTCATTTTTTATTTGGATATCTCCTTCCACTGCTAGCAATCAAGGATTTCACTGCCATTACCAACCTCCATGTTGTCTGGTAACTGTTTTGCTTTGCTTTTGCTTTGGTTATCCATTCTCCAGGACTACCACTGTGTTCAGGCTGGCTTTCTCATCTACTCTTTACCTTGAACTGCATAGCAGATAACAGCTAAGATGTTTTTTCTGTTTGTTTAAACATCTATTTTGTGTCAAACACTGTAGAAGACTCTCTACTTAAAATATTGCTAATTATCATCACCATAGCCCCCGCTTCACAGGTAATGTTTGTCTTTACCTCCACAGATGAGAATACTGAGGTTCCCAAAGTTTAACTGCCAAAGTTACATAGTAACAGAGGAAGTCGGACTAAAAGCCACGTCTCTGACTCCATAGCCCTGGTGTGTCCATCATATCACTCTTCCCTATCTCTTAATATGGGATGAATATGCATCAACTGTGGGCCTACAAACAATGGTATTTTCATATACACGATTCATGTCCTTATGAAAATCTTAGAGTTTCTTATTCTCTGTACCAGTTTGTCTATTTTTTTCTATTGAAAATTGAGGTCTATGTTTTTTCTTATTGTTATGAATTACGTACTCCAATGTTAGTACAATGGCTTACACTATAAATGAATTTTGGATGTGAGATGACATAAAGTCCTATAGTCCTTTCTCAAGTCCCACAAAAAAAAGGAGACAGCAAAAGTGAATTGCTAGCACTGACAATGAAGCACTAAGACTAAAATCAAATATCCCTCTTCCCTCTGAATGTTTTTCCTCTCTTGTCTTTACATTTAATCAATCCTTGTACAAAGGCTGGTGATAATGCCTGCTACCATATAAGCTTCATGATATTTCTTTTTAACTGCACGTTTAGAGTTTTGAAAACAAACATTTAAAATGTTGAATCTTCTAAGATTCTAAACATATTAAGGTCAAATTTGATAGATGCAATGCTCTTCATCTACTTAAAGTCTACATATTTAATATTTAGTCAAGATGCATCACTTTTCTCTGCCTAGAATAATTTATCAATTGAAGTGGTTAGCTTACCACAATGTGGAAAAATACAATATATCCAATATATACTGCCAGACCTCATTCTTACTACAGGAGAAAAATGAGTAAGCATATGTGAGGAATATCTCTGATTTTCTGTGGGATATGTTATTTTGAAAATAAGATGCTTTTTCTCTGAGGTCTCTACTACCAATTTTCATTCATGTAGCTAGGTGTCACTGTGAAGACTTGAAGGATTATCCCTTCCACTCCTTAACTTTTAGTAGAAGCAGGGACTGTTGCTTTAAAAAAAAAAAAGTTTTATTTTTTGACATTATAATTGTATATTATTATTGCATACAGTGATGTTATATGTATACAGAGTTGAATGATTGAATCAAGCTAGTTAACATATCAATCAGCTTAAATACTTATCATTTTAAATCTAACTGCAACTTTCTACCCTTTGACCAACATTCCCTGTTCTCCCAGCCCCTGGCCTCGATAACCACCATTCTATTCCCAGCTTCCATGAATTTGATTGTGTTAGATTCCACATATAAGTGAGAACATTCAGTTTTTACCTTTCCATGCCTGGCTTATTTCACTTATATAATATCCTCCAGGTTCATCCATGTTGTTGCAGTTAGCCAGATTTCCTTCTTTTTAAAGGCTGAATAGTATTCCACTGTGTATATATGCTACATTTGCTTCATCCATTCATCTGTTGGTGAACACTTAGGTTGTTTCCGTGTCTTCGCTACTGCGACTAATGCTACAGTGAACACAAGAGTGCAGACGTCGCTTCGACATACTGGTTTCAAGTCCTCAGGATATATATACCCAAGCACCGTTTTTAAGCGTGTGTCCCTGTGACCCTGTTTTACTCAGGTACTTGCTGAGCAGTGGCCCACTCTTTGTCTTTGCTTCTAGCACTAGCCTGAGGGCCAACTAATGAAGCAAGAGACTGAGAAATGAGGAGATGGGGGCATTAATCTCAGTCTATGCAAACCATCTCAAGCAAACGACTTTACCTCTGGGCTTTGGTTTTCCAACAACAAAACAAAAATATTATTCGCTTTATCTACTCACAAAGTATATTGTGACAAGAAAAGGAAATAATAGAAGTCCCATTTCAAGCCAGGATTGAGATGAGCTTCAGTGTGTAATTTTTTCTGCCTTCTTGCTAGATTTGCCTTACCTCAATATTCTGTATAGATCACAAGGCTCCACCGATGACCAGCCCGGCAAGGTCATATTGCAGCAAGTAGGATTCCAATTTAGTAGGTCAGTTTCAGCCTACAGTCTCACTGTTTATGACTCTGCCCAGATAATTAGGGTTGGGAATTATCATAACTAATGTCAACAGTATTTATTTACAGCCTCTGTGAGGATGTACAGAATAATGGATATATTTTCTGTTCTTTTCACAGTTATACCCATAGTGCCTTGCACAGTGTCTGGTACAGAGCAGGCACTCAACAGAGAGTTTCTGAATACATAAATCAATCAATAAGAACTAGGAAAATTAAAGAACATATAAGGCATAGCAACTGCCTACAAAGACTTGTAATTCAATCGAGTTCACATGGCCTTAAAGATACAAGATAAGTAGCAATAGAGAAGTCAGTCAGTCTACGTAAGGGCCCAGTGAGCATCGTGGCAGAAATTACTGGAGAGGCTGACAGGTTCTCTCCTAGGTGGGGGTATTGGAGTGGGATGATAAATCCCCTGGATGCCACAAAGGGTAACACAGACCTTCTATTATGTTTCGGGGCTACACTTTGTCATCAGGGGAAGATTCTTGATATTTTTCTTTGTCAATGAGTTCATCTTTGTATGGCATAATAACCAGAATAGAGATCGTAATAACCAGAGTGAAACTTTTAGTTTGGTATTGTCAAGGAAAAAATATTGGGAAGGAAAATAACTTTTTTGTCATTGTTATTATGATTATTCATTTTATTTTTTCTCCAGTAAACATAAGGTAACAATGCTACAGTTATCCACAAAATGGCTCATGTCTTTGTAAAGCATGCTTTGGAAACATCTACCTCTTTCCTTCCTTCCATCTCCCTCCTTCCTTTCCTTACCTTGTTTTCTCCTTTTCTTCATCTTTTCTTCTTACAGCATTCATTGGGCAATTACTAATCAACAAATACTTATTGGGCACTTGTGTTCCAGGAATGTGAAAGGCAAGGGAATGCGGAGATACATGAAGGAATTACATTTGAGTAACGTTTCTGCAGTATAATTGACAGAGCATGGTTGACAATTGTTTTTGGAGGGTGAGAGAGATGAAGGAAGAGGATGACTCATGTTTCAGCTTGAGAAACTGGTTGTGTGATGATGACGTCAGCCAAGACAAGAAGCAAAATAGGAGAAGCAGATTTTGGGGAAGATGTTGAATGCAGGTATAGACACATTGAATTGATGTGGCTGAAGGACACCCAGGTCAAACTGTTAAACAGGCAGTTGGAAATATGATTTTGACCATGAGGCTAAAGAGATGGATTTGGAAGACATTAGCATTTAGATGATGTTTGAAAACATGATAATAAATTCATCTAGAAAAAGTAGGTAGAAATATAGAAAAGGACCAGAAACATAAGCCTAAGGAACTCTCACACGTAAAGAATATGTAAGGAGAAAGTGAAGGAGGAAATTATGAAGGAAGGTTTAGAAAAGTAGGAGAACTAGAAGTAATTGAGGATGGTACTACTCTTGAGTGCCACATCAATAAAGCACCTTGAAGTTGGTCAAGGTCAGAATGAATCTTAATTTCTACTTTCTCCTTTTCCAACTCCAAACCAGAGCTAATTAGCTCCCATCTAAAGACTCAAAGCTTTCCCATTCTGTGGGGTTAATTACATTTATGGGCATGGGCTCTGCCACAGAAAGAAACCAGCAGCATGGAAGTAAGGCATCCAGTTGACCTTAACTGCAGTGCCTCCTGAACTGGTTCCATTTCTATGAGATGGGGTCTTGACTCCTCTCTTTGTTCAAGCTCCTGTAATGAACCCCTGTGTTCCTGGAGTCCCAACTCTAGTCTCCTGAGACAGAAGTTTTCCCCCTTGTACTCCAGGGTTATCTATTCCCCAGCGTTATAGTCTTGGGATGACTTACCTGTCTTCATGTACTTATCCTATATCTGACAATGCCTGGAATTATTTTTGGCTAGTTTAAGAATCCTAGGAGCATCTGCATGGTGTTTGGACAGCTCCTGAAAACAAATTAACCATTTATAAACAGACCCTTGTATTACTATTGTATTCTTTTAGCTATCATTTCCTAAAATTGCTATTTATTAATTCAACAACCCCTTTAATAAGTGCATGCAATTCCCAACTCTTGAAAGCCTACTATGTGCAAGGCATCGTTGTAAGTGCTGAGGATACAACAGTGAGCAAAACAGGCATGGACCTTTCCTCATGGGCTTGTGATCTCAGAGAGAGGACAGATAAACAGTTCAAGTACATAGTGGGTCAGATGGAAACACAAACACCTTATGAGGAATAAGAAGGCTGGGAAAGAGTGGCGGCGGGGGGTTGTCATTTTATTACAATGGTGGTCAGGGAAGACATCACTGAAAAATGACTTTTAGCAGAGACGTGAGAGAGACATGAAAAAAAATGATAAAAACATGATTAAGTGAGCCCTGTTGCTACTTAGGAGACAAGTATTCCAGGTGTGGGAATTGCGAGGGCAAAGGCCCTAAGGCTGAATTGGCCTGGGCTGTTACAGAAATAAGCATTCCACTGTAGGGAAGCTTTCAGAGGGGTTAGTGGTGGCAGGAGCGATTCTGAAGAACCTTTTGGTTATTAAAATGTTTTGACTTCTATTCTGAGAAAATGTAAGTATTTAGTCAGAGGAGTTGACATGACCTGTCTTCCACTTCAGAAGTATCATCCTGGCTGCTATGTTGGGAACAGACTGGAGAGGGGCAAGATCAGAAGCTGGAATACGAGTTAGTAGGTGAGAGCAACGATGTAGCCTGGTCCAGGCTGCTTGTGGTGAGAATGGGGTGAAGTGCTTGGATTCTGGATATATAGGCACTCCTCGCTTTATTGTGCTCTGCTATATTGTGCTTCTCAGATAATGGGTTTTTCACAAATTGAAGGTTGGTGGCAACCCTGCATCAAGCAAGTCTATCAGCACAATTTTCCCAACAGCATGGCTCAATTTGTATCTCTGTGTTACATTTTGGTAATTCTTGCGTTACTTAAAGCTTTGTCATTATTATTATATCTATTTTGGGGATCTGTGATCATAATATTTAATGTTACTAGTGTAACTGTTTTGGGACATCACAAACCACAACCATATAAGACAATAATTTAATCAATAAAGGCTTTGGGCTTCCCTATTCCCTGAGACAAAACAATATTGAAATTAGGCCAATTAATAACACTCTAACGACCTCTAAGTATTCAAGTGAAAGGAAGAGGTACATGTCTCTCACTTTAAATGAAAAGCTAGAAATAATTAGGCTTAGTGAGGAAGGTATGTGGAAAGCTGAAATAGGTTGAAAGCTAGGCCTCTTGCACCAAGTAGTTAGTCAAGTTCTGAATGCAAAGGAAAAGTTCTTGAAGGAAATTAAAAGTACTATTCCAGTGAACACGAGTGATAAGAAAGTGAAACAGCTTTATTGCTGATATAGAAAAAGTGTGAATGGTCTGGATAGAGAAAATTAAACCAGCCACAACATTCCCTTAAGCTGAAGCCTACTCCAGAGCAAGGCCCTAACTCTCTTCAATTCTGTGAAGGCTGAGAGAGGTGAGGAAGCTGCAGAAGAAAAAAGTTCAAAGCTCGCAGAGGTCGGTTCGTGTTTAAGGAAAGAAGCTGTCTTCGTAACATAAAAGTGCAAGGTAAAGCAGAAAGTGCTTATGGAGAAGCTGCAGCAAGTTATCTAGAAATCTAGCTAAGATAACTGATGAAGGTGGCTACACTAAATAAGTTTTCACGTAGAAAAAACAGCCTTCTATTGGAAGAAGGTATCATCTAGGACTTTCATAGCTGGAAAAGTCAATGCCTAGCTTCAAGCTTCAAAAGACAGACTCTTTTCTTAAGGGCTAATGTAGCTGGTGACCTTAACTTGAAGCCAATGCTCATTAATCATTCTGAAAATCCTAGGGCCCTTAAGAATCATGCTAAGTCTACTCTGCCTGTGCTTGGTAAATGGAACCACAAAACTTGGAAAGAGCATAGTTTACTGAACATTTTAAGTCCACTGTTGAGATCTACTGCTTAGAAAAGAAGATTGCTTTCAAAATATTACTGCTCATTGACTATATACCTGGTCACCCAAGAGTTCTGATGGAGATGTACAAGAAGATAATTGTTGTTCTCATACCTGCTAACCCAACTTCAATTCTGCAGCCCATGGATTCAGGAGTAATTATGAGTTTCAAGTATTATTATTATTATTTTTGAGACAAAATCTGGCTCTGGCTATAAGACTGGAGTTCAGTGGCACTATCTCGGCTCCCTGCAACTTCCGCCTCCCAGGTTCAAGCGATTCTCCTGCCTCAGCCTCCCAATTAGCTGAGATTACAGGCATGCGCCACCACACCCAGCTAATTTTTGTATTTTTAGAAGTGAATGGTTTTCACCATGTTGGCAAGGCTGGTCTTGAACTCCTGACCTCAAGTGACCTGCCCGCCTTGGCCTCCCAAAGTGCTGAGATTGTTTTGAAATAAAGCTGCTATTAAGCAATTCTTCTAATAATGCAACTAACTCCTCTTTATAATTCTATTTTCATTTTAAAATTTAAAATCACTAAGTTGTCACCAGGACAGCCTCAAGTATTATTTTAGAAATAAATTTCATAAGGCTATAGCTGCCATAGTGATTTCTCTGATGGATAAGGGCAAAGCAAATTGAAAACCTTCTGGAAGGGATTCACCATTCTAGCTGCCATTCAGAATATGTGTGACTCATGGGAGGTCAAAGTGTCAACATTAACTGGAGTTTGGAAGAAGCTGATTCCAACCCTCTTGGATGACTTCGAGGGGTTCAAGACTTCAGTGAAGGAAGTTACTGCAGATGTAGTAAAAATAGCAAGAGAACTAGAATTAGAAGTGGAGCCTGAGGATGTGACTGAATTGCTGCAATATTACAATAAAACTTGAATGGAGAAGGAGTTGCTGCTCATGGATAAGCAAAGAAAGTGGTTTCTTGAGACGGAATCTACTCCTCATGAAGATGCTATGAACACTGCTGAAATGACAAAAAAGATTTAGAATATTACATAAATTTAGATGATAAAGCATTAGCAGGTTTTGAGAGGACTGACTAATTTTGAAAGAAGTTCTGTGGACAAAATGCTATCAAACAGCATTGCATGGTACAGAGAAATCTTTCATGAAAGGGAGATTCAATTTATGTGACAAACTCTATCTTTGTCTTAAGAAATTGCCACAACCACCTCCGCCTTCAGCCACCACCATGCTGATCAGTCAGCAGCCATGAATGTCGAGACAAGACTCTCCACTGACAAAAAGATTATGACTTACTGAAGGCTCAGATGATCATTAGCACTTTTTAGCAGTATTTTTAAATTAATGTGTGTATATTTTTCAGAATAATGCTACTGTGCACTTATTTAAATGTAATTACAAGTTATGTTTAGACTATAATTGAGAACTTATGTTTAGAGTATAATATACTGTAAACATAACTTTTACATGCACTGGGAAACCAAAAAATTGGTGTGACTTGCTTTATTGGGATATTTGCTTTATTGTGGTAATCTGGAACAAAACCCACGGTATCTCTAGGTTATGCCAGTAATTTAAAGGTAGGACAAGCAACATGTTCTGATGGCTTGGATATGATGCAAGAAGGACAGAAGTGGATTGAAGTGAAGAATGACTCCAGGGTTTTTGGCCTGAGCAACCAGAACAATGGAGCGCCACAGGGATTGGGCCTAGTGAGGCAGGGAGTTTAATTTTTGACGTGTTTAATTTGAGGTATCTATGAGACACTCAGTCAAATGGGCAAGTCGTTCAGGCAATGTAAAAGCAGAAAAAGAAGGCAGTAGCTAAAGGAGGGAGAATATAAGGTCAAAAGGTTTTGGCTTTACTTTTCAAAGGTGAGAACTAGTAAAGCAAGTTTTTGTGCACATGGAAGTGTTTCCTGGAGAGGAAAGAGGTCATGATGAAGGACAGAGAGAGAAAACTGTTGGAGCCCATGTCTTGAGTAGGTTAGAGGTAGGATCTGCTCCGCCAGTGGAGAGGCTGGCCTTAGACAGGAGTATGGGCAGATGGGCCATCCATTGTATCGAGAGGGAAGGCAAGGTGTGCAGGGACAGATGCAGGGAGACTGTGGAAGTTTTCCTGTGGTTGCTTCTTTTTTCTCAGTGAAATAAGCATGTAGCTCAGCAGCTGAGAGTGCTACATGCTAGCAGATGCATGTAGGAGAGATGTGACAAGAGGTTTTCAGATTGAGCAGAATGTTTGAAATGGTCTAGGACAGTGGTTTTTCAGTTCATAATCTGATAGAGGGTGTTAAAACCAACTTTGTAATTTGAGATCAAACGTGATTTTAAAATGAAAATAGAATTATAAAAAGGAGTTTGTTGCATTATTAAAAGAATTGCTTAATAGCAGCTTTATTTCAGTTGCATGAGTGTGTACTTGCACATATATTGGGTTGTAGCAAAAATACTTTTAAAAATACTTGCCCAGGACAGTGGGAGTAAATGAATAAGGGACTGTCAAATACAAAGTCAAGGTCCTAGTTAATGATCATGAGTCAAAATATTTTCATGTAAAAAACCAAAAAAATCATTGAATGGACTCATAAGATCTTGGCATGGAAACTGCTAGAGGACCATAGTCCCTCCTCAGTATTTGCTGCTCCTTCTCCCTACCCCACTCCACTCTCCACCCTAGGAAACCTTTTCATTTGAATATTTTCAATAAGGGCAAGATCACCAGCTTACAAGATGTCAGAAAGTAACTTTCTGCTCTAAAAAAATGGGGCCCTCACAAAAGTAGTGAGTAGAGGCCCTGGCAGGATTTGGAATTTGGTGTATTTAATATGAAGTTTGACATTATTATGTAATAACAAACTTGATGGCTTTTCCCCGTTTCAGAGAGCTCTAAATCCTCTAAGACAAAACTAGTACCAGAGCACTAAGAAATCTTGTTTTTGTTCAAAACTCTAGCCCAGAAAGGCACCAGTTAGCTTTTAAAAGTATGTGCTCTCTCCTCTTTACTAACTGCGGTGTTAGTGGATAATTGAGCTAAGGTTTATACCTGTATTTTCCCCCTATTTCAAGATTTGTTGTTGGATCTGCAAATGATTCCAATCAAATACAACTGTACTTGGAAAAAAATCATCCGTTGTTAAGACTTTACATTCCTTAGTTGCAGAAGTAGTTTTTTTTCCTGCACAATACCTTTTAAAAAATGAATATTTAATATGTCAATATATACTCTGAAAATAACCATTTATATTTTAAATTCTGAGCTCAGGTTATTTTCTAGACATTGTAATTTAGAATAAAAATACTTCTCCAGTTCTACATTTTGCCTGACTGTTAAAAATGATTTTGAGATTAATAAGTTGAACCAATTTTCTATTCACCTGACCAAATTCTGAACCATTTGAGTTTTTTAAAAAGTACTTTTTCCTTATTGTAAAGGCAACATAAAACTTGGTTCATTGGACAGGATAGCAGAGATAAACATTATACATGAAGTATAGTTCCCTGGGGCAATGTTGCTCTCTTTCTACCATGTTTATTTCGATTTATATAAATTTGAGACACTGAACAGAAGTAGAATTCAAATAGAGAATGAGGACTTATAAAAATGTACACTCTGCCTACATCAGTAAGAGTATGCTAATTTATAAAATTAAATATTTAATCTTAGTTCACTTGTAAACCAAAATCAAGTAAAGTCTGAATCCACCTTCTATTGCTTTGGGGGTTTGAGTCTATATTCTAGGATTCATTTAATAGTTTCATTTCTCTAAGCATCAAGCAAAACAGTTAAAATTACAAAACAGAAACATAAAGTTCACCTCATCATGTAGTATGGATCACTCTGTTATTCTTTATCTAGACCTTCAAATACTTTATGTAAAATGTTTCTATACAAAAGGAAACACAGGATTAGTTCCTCCTCTAATGCTTCTAAAGAGCTCTACCATGGAAAGCTCTCTCCCTTCCATTTTGCAAGTCTCAACAAGTCTGCTGCTGAGTCAGAACCTCCTTTTTTCCCTGATGTAAGAACTATTTCTCCCTTGAAAATTCATAAAGCTTAGGAATAAATTAGAGTCTCCCTGGGGGGAAGGGGCGGGGACGCCGGAATGAATGTGGTGGGGAGGAGTCCCACGCTGCAGCCCTGATGGCACACGAAAGGCTTTTATGAAGCGGAGCTGGCCCGGGGTTACTATGGGAGCTCGCCGTGGAACCCGTTCCACGCATCCGAGTGTGTAAATAACCACGCGGAGCGTGTTTGTTCCAGGGACTTTGTTCCTTCTTACCCAAGTGAAAATGCCTGGAATATAGCCGAGGCTTCATGTTTACCCTACAGAAACACCCTCGGCGGCTCTACGACGTCGGTGACAGCACTCCTACCAGCGCCTAAAAACAGAAACAAGCTTAGAGGGCGCTACCTAGGGCTACAAGGAGGCCCTAGATCGGGGACTCGGGGTCTAGAGGTGCGCGGCGAGGCGCTCAGCGGACTTCAAGCCGGCAGAGCCCAGACGCTAGTTCACCACAGGACCCCCGGGCTGGGCCGGGCTCCCGCGTTGCGCTGGGGGCCCCTCGGGCGCCTATTTCTACGCGGGTCGCACAGTGCAGGCGCCGGTCGGGGTCCCGGGCCTCAGTTTCCCCCGCGGGCCAGCCCCGCTCTGGGAAGCCCGAGTGGTGCAGCAGGGCTTCTCCCCACCCAGGGCGGAACCGAGGTGACAGGAAGGAGGAGGCACCGCGAGGGGCGGAGACGCGTGCGACCCAGGCAGACTCTGCGCGGATCCCGCGCCAAGGAGGGGCCGTTGCCCAGGAACCGTCCCTCCCTCCCGCGCGTGCTTGCCCTCGTGCGCGCGCCCGCCCAATGCTCCCGACCACTGTTTGCCAGCCGACCCCCACCCCAACCGGCCTGTCCATTTCCCCGGGAGCGGAGAGACCCAACGGGACACGCCGCTCGCTCCCGCCCTCCCGGGAGCGCGAGCGCGCCCTCGGCTGCGTCTGCATAGTAATGAGGGGCGGGGAGGGGCGACGGGGACGCGGTGGCCTCGCGCCCGCGCGTGCCGGGACGCACCGCGGGGGGCGGCGCGATTGTGAGGTGGCGCTGACGCACGTTCCGGGGTTCTTAAGCGGCCAGGGCGGCTACGGCGACTGCGACGGCGGCGGCGGCGGCGATCGCCGCGAGGGGTGGTGGGGCCGAAGTCGGTGCCCCCTGGCTCAGTCACGGTGTCCCTCTCTCACTGACTCCCCCTCCTTCCACCACGGCCGCGCAACCCCAGCGCCGGCGGCTTCCTAGGTGGGGCAGGGGACGAGGAGCGTCTCCTCCCGCTGCCGGCGGCCTGATAAATGAGGGATTTCGGGTTTGGGGTGCTGCAGACCGCCCCGCTCCGAAGTAGCAGTCCTGGGCCCCTGTTCTGCGGCGAGGCGTATGGTCCTTACGCCGTGGGGTCCGTCAACCCGCTGCCCTCCGCCACGCCCTTCGGCCCACTGTCGCCACCACCGTTGCCTGTCACCGGCTTCTTAGAGGCCGCCTCCCCCTTCTCCGTCCCCCTCGGCGGCGGCGCGGGCAGCCCGGCCGCCGCCGCTTCCTCTTCCTCCCCGTTCCTGGCGCATCAGCAGACCATGCAGGATGAGCTGCTTCTGGGGCTGACACAGCAGCCGGCGCGGCCGCTTTCGGGGGCGGCGGCCACGGAGAAACTCCCCGACCACCACCCCGGCGGCGGCACGATCGCGGGTGTGACCCACCTCCTCCCCTCCCAGGACTTCAAACCGAGTCTGCACCACCCCTCCTCCTCCTCCGCCTCCTCCTGCTGCTGCTGCCGCACCTCCTCCCCGCAGGACTTCAGTAAGCGGCAGCAGCAGCAGCTGAGCAGCCAGAAGAGGAAAGAGTTCAGCCCTCCCCACCTTCCCCACCCTCCGGACTCGAAGCCGCCGCCGCCGCCTCCGCCGCTCCACTGCCCCGGTCGGTTCAGCCCGCCGCCGCCGCCAGCCGGCCCGCTCCTCCAGCCGGCGCAGCTCGCTCAGCGCCAGCAGCAACAGCCGCCGCAGCAGTTCAGCCTCCTGCATCAGCAGCACCTCTCGCCGCAGGACTTCGCCCCGCGGCAGCGTCCGGCAGACCTGCCCCCGCTCCCGCAGCTCCCTCCCTCGCCGCCTGCAGCCCCGCGGCGCCGCCACGGAGGCGCGGGCAGCCCTCGCAAGACCCCAGCCGCGGGCGAGGGCAGCGCCGCCGAGTCCCCCAATGCGGGCTTGGCCTCCTCGACGCCGGTGAACCCCGCGCCGGGCTCCATGGAGTCCCCCAACCACCCTCTGCTCAACAGTCCCAGTAACCTCCTGCCCGGAGGTGCGCTTGGCGCGGGCGCCTTCAGCAGCCTGCAGAGCCCGGACCTTCCACACCCGGGCGGCGGCGGCGGCGGCGGGGGCGGGGGGCCCCCAGGAGGCGGAGGGGGAGGCGGCTCCGCGTCGCCGCCGCCGCTGCCCGGCTTCGGCACCCCCTGGTCGGTGCAGACCGCGTCGCCGCCACCCCAGCCCCAGCAGCCGCCGCCGACCCAGCCGCAGCAGCAGCCGCCGCCACCCCAGCAGCCGCCCCAGCCGCAGCCGCAGCCGCCCGGCTCGTCTGCCACCACCCCGGGCGGCGGCAGCGGCGGCTCGCTCAGCGCCATGCCGCCGCCCAGCCCCGACTCAGAGAACGGCTTCTACCCCGGGCTGCCGTCGTCCATGAACCCGGCCTTCTTCCCTAGCTTCTCGCCCGTGTCGCCGCACGGCTGCACTGGGCTCAGCGTTCCGACGAGCGGCGGCGGCGGCGGCGGCTTCGGCGGCCCCTTCTCGGCTACCGCTGTGCCCCCTCCGCCGCCGCCCGCCATGAATATACCTCAACAGCAGCCCCCGCCGCCCGCGGCGCCGCAGCAGCCGCAGAGCCGGAGGTCGCCCGTCAGCCCGCAGCTCCAGCAGCAGCACCAGGCGGCGGCCGCCGCCTTCCTGCAGCAGAGGAACTCCTATAACCACCACCAGGTACGGCGGGCGGCGGCCTGGCCGCGCCGCGGGACCGGGAGACCATGGGCGGGGGACGGAGGCGGGGGCAGGGCAGCCGGGGACCCGACCTTAGCCCCGAGAGAAGCCGCGACGGGGGCCACTCGCCCAAGTGAGAGTGGAACTGAGGGCGGACAACCGTGACAGGACTCGGAACCCCAGCCCCCGGTGGGTTGGGAGGGCAGTGGCCACCGTGGGCTGTGGGGGCGTGGGAGACGAGTTCGCGCTGGGAGCCGCGGCTGGCCGGGCGCCCCCTCGAACGTCCCGGCGCAGCAGTGGGGACTGGGGCAGGGGCCGAATAGCGCCGGGGCCGCGGGCGGCCGGGCGCGGCGTCTCAACCCGGCCCTCCTAGCTGGCGCACCCCGGGATCCGCCCTGTGCCCTGGGCCTGGAGGGCCGCCGCCCCGGACCCCCGACGCGGGGAGGCGCGGCGAGGACCGGGGGCTGGCCGGGGGCCTCGGAAGAGCGGCCGTGGGAAGTGAACTTGGGCAGGGGAAAAATGATTGCTGGAGAAGGTGCGTGCGGAGGAGCCCAAGACTCTGTCTCGCTGTCCAATGAGGGAAGGCGGAAAGGCTTTTTTTTTTCTTTGGAGTTTGTTTATTCTTATTTGGCCGGCGGTGATCTCGCCTTGAAGCCTCAGCCCCTCGGGCGGTCAGTCGAGCCGCTCCCAAAGCTCCGCCCGATCAACCTGCTGGCAGCGCCGCACCCTGGGCCGCCGGCCCAGGAGGGAGTCGGGAGGGAGCGGCCGACCGCCCTCCTCGCAGGACCTGGTTCCCGCGGGGCCGCCTCCTTGGCTGTCACAGGACTGGGAAAGAGAAACTGTTAGTGACCGCTCGGGTTCAAACCGAGATATCCCACGAATGTCTTAGTTTCTGTGCTTTTCAATGTTGGGGTCATGTTTTGTGGGTTTTAAGACAAAACTGAACTTGGATCTGGGATTGGTGTGTTTCCTCGTAGACTTTCGGTACATTTTTTGGTTGCCTTAACCTTCTACAAGGGAATATGTGGGCCGTGTGTATTTTAAGTAGGTAATATTGTGAAATGACACTGGGCAGAATTTTTATTTTCCGGATCTTTTTTGATTCAAGATCTTTTTTGTTATTCCCTCAATACAATTTTTGGGTGACCGCTAGATTGGTAAATTGGCATTGAAAGAGTGTCTTGTTGGTTTTGAATCTTGTTAGCATTTGTTGCAGAGTTCATTCTGTTTAAGTCCATTTTCTATTTTCGTGATTAAGGATTGACAGAGACGCAAAATATGACCTTAACCCCATAACTTTTTCAGTTGACCAAAGTTTTCAAGGATTAGTCTTTTTAAAGTGAATATTATCTAAATTAACCCAAGTGAAAGTTAACAGTTTATCTAAGTTAACCAAAGTGACAGTGAACAGTTTTTGTTGAATCACTGATTTCTTTCTTAGAAAAGAGAATGTGGCCTATGAGGATTGAAAATAGGGATTTTGAAATAATGTTCCACTTTTTCATGATTTTTATAACCCTCAGCAACTGTCTTTTGTGTCTCAGGATCTTCATTTTGTTATCTGGAAACTTGCCCACAGAAAATTATCTGTAGGTAATTTTGTATTTACTTAAAGTTGTGGTACAGAGCGTTGGAAGAACATATACCATGATCCATATTTAACTGTAATTTGCTTTTGGACAAAAGATGGGTCTAGCCATGGAGTGTGAGAGGTCACACAGCTTTCATATGGAATTTTAGATCACTGGAAGATAACTTTGAGCATTAAATCATTTAATAAGGAGAGTAAGGCCCTCAAGAATGAAGTGGTTTGTCCATGGCTCTGTAATTATGCTTTGGACCTCTGTGGAAGAGGAAAGAGTAATAATATACTCATGATTATGTTAGCATTTAAAAGTGTTTAAAAATTGGTGCTGTAGATCAGGAGTTTCTCTTTTAATTGTCTTACAAAAAGCAGGTTCAATTTTAAGAGAACCATATTTATTTGTAGTAACTGTATGGTTCATACTTCTTTAGCTACATCTTAACACCAAAGTATTAAAGTATAAACTTACTGACAGTAGAATTACCAGCAATGAATACTTCTTAAAAAAAAAAAAAACCCAAAACTACAATTATTAGCGTTTTGATGGATTTACCATTCTTTGATGATTTGACTTGTCTTGCCACAGGTTTGAGATTAGGATGTAATTTACTTTTGAAAATGAATCAACTTGATGGAGACTTGTATCAAGATCTCTAGTGGAATAATCAAAGCATATAGTTAATTAGCAGTATACCTCAGTGGATCCACCTATGGGCAACATCAGATAATTGCTTCACAGTTTATGGATAATTAAGTGAAATAAAAACAATTAAGACAAACTATGCTAAAACTGGAATAAAATGCCTTAACAGTTAAATAAACAATGCAGAAAAATGACATAGTTTCTATACTGTCCTTATTTCAAAAGGCGATTTTAATTTGTACAAGAGTAATTCCCACTTTTGTAGTAGTGCAACTTGTTTTGGAAACATAAAGTCTATATATTTCACTTGTATGAGTAGGATATTTTAATTAACAAAGACCATATTTTTAGTTGTGTGCCTAGCATAATTAATATGGTTGCTTTAAGATCACCATGTATGTTATATCTTTAAGAATCTTCAGAGTTAATTTCAATTTTTTTCTTCATATTTATCATGTATACAGTTATCTCTGAAGGATAAAAAGGAACTGCATGGTTCTATTTTAGTAACTGTCATAAAATATCATGATATTTATAGTATACAAGAAGATGAAAACTTGACCAGCATCAAATATGATTTCACATAGAAAGATCTCAAGACTGTTACTTTTATAACCTAGAAAAGATGTATTCTTTTGCCTTTATATATTTCATTCATATAAATTCTTAGGTCTGAAATTTGAATTTGAATTTGAATTGTAAATTCTTTAAATGCCGCAATTTAAATAGCTATGTTTTCCCTAGCCTCTTCTGAAACAGTCTCCCTGGAGCAACCATCAGAGCAGTGGCTGGGGCACTGGAAGTATGTCCTGGGGAGCAATGCATGGCAGAGATCATCGTAGAACCGGAAACATGGGAATCCCAGGAACTATGAATCAGATATCTCCATTGAAGAAACCGTTTTCTGGTAATGTCATAGCACCACCGAAATTTACTCGCTCAACTCCATCACTGACTCCAAAATCTTGGATTGAAGATAATGTGTTCAGAACAGACAACAATAGTAATACACTCTTACCCTTACAGGTAAGAATGGTATGTAAATGACCTTATCTCTAATGTTAATCTTTCAAAATAGGGAGTTGGGTGGTGGTGGTAGTGGTATGCTAAAATTAACATTTTTTGAAATAAAGTTTTAATTTTTAAGCATGTAATTTAATTAACAAAGGTTAAAATATCTATACAGAGAAAATTGAGAATGTAAAATAATTCTCTAAACACGCAATGGAAAATAAGCTTAGTAAAACGTAGAAAAACCTTTTGTATTTATTAAATACATACTGAAGCTTTCAATTAGCAGCTCTTTAAGAATGCTTTAATTTATAAATTCTAATGGGCCACCAAAATTTGTTTCTCCTTTAATATAGCTAAGCTAATATGTTCTGTAATTGTAACTGTTCTTAGAATTGACTATAATTGGCTGTATATATATTAGAATATACTTAGTACAGCTGTGATTGTGGCAAAATAATATTAGGGCTTTTTTGCATCTAATTTAAATTTATCTTCACTAATTCACCGATTATTTTTTCTAAATGTGGCCTAATACGTTGATTAGACTTTTTTTTTCTTTCAGTATTTTTATTATTTTCTTGAAGTTCCCTTATGGCTATTGCAAGTGAGGTTTTTGTTTTGTTTTGTTTTTTTCTTAAACCTTTAGAGGATGGAATGAGGATTTAAGATAGAGCTTTATTTTTTGTTTTCTTTCTTTCTTTCGTTGGGTGGGTATGGGGAAGACAACTGCTCATTTCTGATGAAAACTTCTATGCTATTGAAGGTGAGATCTAGTTTGCAGTTGCCAGCTTGGGGCTCAGATTCACTCCAAGATAGTTGGTGCACTGCAGCCGGAACATCCAGAATAGACCAGGTAGGCTGCACAGTGTATACTTTTTAGGATTTCGGTTAGGAGTTTAGTATTTATATTATGAGTAGGATTTATTATTTACTTTCTTATTATACCTATTGAAACATATGTTAGAGGACACTGAAGCAATTTATTTTTTAAGGATCACCTGCTTTGAACTATTTAATGTAAGAAATTTTTTATTTTCAAATTTAAGAGTAATCCTTTTATAATTCTAAAACATAATAAACTTTTTTTGGAAAAAGGAATTATATACACAAGAGCACCTGACTTTAAACATCAGTCAAACTAAGCAGATTGTATCTCTTTTCAGAATTAAATGCAATTAGGTACAAAATCATATGTTTACTTAACATCTAGCTTTATATTTGATGTTTCATAGAACTTTTCAGTAAATTTTTGTCATGAAGTCTGTATTTGTTTTGAGATATATTTCTAAAAAAGACTTCTCTTGGTTCAGTTTTTTCACCTTTATTAAAAAATATATAGCCTAGTATTCTAAATTTTGTTACTGCTTTTATACCCTGACTTATTCCAAATAATCAGTTTCCTATGGAGAAACCGTTAGTCAAAAAGCTGGGAGTTAGCCTTAATCAAATTACATTTACACCTTTGGTGGTTACAAAATGCTATCTTTCTTCCTGCAAACTGAATTTGAATGTATACTAGGTACCAGGTGGTGAGGATTATTATAGGTTATAGAAAACTCAGTCCTTATATATGCAGGTTCTTTCTTACAGAGCTCAAGTTTGAATGAGCATAGACTTAACGTTGTGTGTGTTATATGAATGGAGCTATGTTATTCTAAGTCTCTTCCTTGGTTAATTTATCAACATGAGATGATTTTACAAGTAAGGACATAAACAGATTAATAATACGTTTGTAAGTAACATTCTAATCTAGAAGGTTAGCATTAATTTTGATAATCAACCACTAACAATTGTTTTAGCCAAGTCCTGCCTGTTTTCCAAAGTAGTCCTGCCAGGGTCTTCACCTAGAAATGGTAGTTACTTCATGCAATTTGCAACGTATTGTCTTGTTAATATAAGTTAGCTATTTACCTCTACTCTCTTCTCTAGTCTGGTCCAGTTAAGCCTTATTAGTGACGTTTTTATGGTAGCATTTTTGTATTTAAATTCAATACATGAATGCCTAGGAGATGGTATGTTTAGGAGAAGAAAATTAATGTAATTATTTTGAAGGTGGCAAGAGAAATGTTTTCAAATAGAAGAGGACATAATTACTCTGTGCAGAAAGAAGCAATAGGATGGATACATATATAGGATACATATATAGGAGAAATAAGTATCCATGGAAAAGAATACAAATTAGCTGGCATACATGGTCCATGAGGCAGGGACAGATGTTGAGAAATCAGATTATTGAGTTGATTTCAGTTGGAGGGATGCTAGAGAGGAGATAGGGGTGATAATGAAAGGGAAGCTTTCACACCAGCCTCCGGGGCTGCCCTCCCACTTAGACTTCAATCAAAGCTATTCTGCTTTTACCTGTATTATAACCTAAGATTTTAGGGAAATTTATTTTAGGAAAAATGATTTTGGTGCTTAAAGATAAACTTATCTGGTAAACTGCTGAGATATTGGCATTCCCTTTGGACTTTTGAGCCAGAGGTGTGATGTGATGAAGTAAAACACAGTGGTGGGGGAAAAAAGAGATAATGGAAAGTGAATGGAACTGGAAGGAAAGAAGGCCTGAAACTTGGATCTTCTTCCTCTTCCTCATAATCTTTATGACATTGAATGACATAGTTTATAGGTTTTCATCTCTTTGGGTCACAGTTTCCTTATCTGTAAAAGGGGGACCTTGAACTGGGTCATTTAAGGCCTTTCCAGCCAGCTTTTAACACTTTCTCTGATCTGTTTTGGCCATTTCTTTTCCTCCATGCTGCCCCACCCCCCTTGCCTCTATTTTTAGAATACAAGCCTCTTGGTTTCTTTGAGCAAAGGGTCTTAGGCATTAGTCTAAGGCAGTGGAGGTAGTATGTGACCTTTCAACTGGACTTAAAAGCAGTGTCATTGTCTCCTCTAAGTACCCTAAGAGTACTTACACATAGTTTGTTGTGTGTTTCCATCTTTCCATAAAAGGTTGAAGTATTTGAAGTTGAGCCTCTTAAAAATACAGCAGCAGCTACAAAATGAAATTGATATCTTAAAATGTTGGGTAGTTTCTCATTCTTTGGCAAAATTAAAATTATAGAAGATTCTTAGTCACTTAAATGTCTGAGGAGATTATCTGCATTTCTGACCTTTTATCATCATATACAGTGTAATTCTAGTATATTTTTGTTAACAAGTACATTATTTTACAACATTTTACTTTTTATTTCCTTTAGTCTCAAACTGATTGGGGCCTAGAATATAATACAAAATTCTAGAACTGAAGTCTTAATTCTTATACTTGGATACCGCGGGCTTTACCTGTGTCAAGAGCTGAACACGTAATCGAATTCAATAAATAAGAAAGAGCTAGTTTTGTAGGTTGATTTTTATTTCTGTTAATATGTAAAATTTTGTGGGTTGGAATTTTATTTTAAATAAGATTTTTTAAAAATAGAAAACCCTCAAATTTAAAACTTTCTAAAAGCAAATATAAATTATTATAAACATTTCTGACTTTAAAATGAGTATTACATACATATCTCTATGAATTTCTTTTCTTTTTTTTTTTTTTTTTTTGAGACAGTTTCACTCTGTCACTCAGGCTGAAGTGCAGTGGCACGATCTCGTCTCACTGCAACCTCTGCCTCCCGGGTTCAAGCGATTCTCATGCCTCAGCCTCCCCAGTAGCTGTGATTACATGCATGCACCACCATACCCGCCTAATTTTTATATTATTAGCAGAGACAGGGTTTCACCATGTTGGCCAGGCTGGTCTCAAACTCCTGATCTCATGTAATCCGCCCGCCTCGGCCTCCAGAGTGCTGGGATTACAGGCTTGAGCCATCATGCCTGGCCAGTATATCTACATGAATTTGCTTAGGGTTATTAATTACTGTACTTTAAAATGTCATTAGCTAGTTACCCTTGCGAGAATCGTACTCAAAAGTTTGAATTCTAAATTATATTACAATGGAATTTGCAGCCAGATCCAGCAATGTGCACTACTTGGAAGGCTGAGGCAGGAGGATTGAATGCCTGAGCCCCAGAGTTGAGTCCAGCCTCGGCAACATAACAAGACACCACCCCCTCTTCCCAAAAAAATAGGAGTTTTCAGTTTAATGTTAAGGTTACGCTATATTTATTCATATGTTTTAAATCAAAGAGTAAATATCCTTTAAGTGAGGTTATTATTACTTACAAGTTTACATATGACATATCAGCTCACTGTAAACAAAGTAATGTCTTGGAACAGTAATTGAGTGTGTGAAGCATGTACGTGCATGTCCGCCTGCCTTCCACCTGGGGAATTATCAATATATCAACTCTCAATTTTTGCTCTTCCACAAGCTCTACTTGCAGTGCTTGAGCATGTCACATAATAAACTACCTTGAATTAATTGAAGATACTTTCCATTAATCTTTAATAGGCTGTTATGATAATGTGGTAAATCATAATTTGGAGATCTGTCTCAGAAAAAATATTATTTGAATCTTTACTCACCTTACACACAAAAAAACAGTATATAGTTGCATACCAAACCCAATTTGTTTATCTGATAAAGCATTTCTTAAATAGTGGTTTGTAAACCAGATGAACTTCAGGGACATTCATAGTCATCAAACTGTTACATGCCCACTGAAAATGGAAAAGAATGGACTCTTGTATTACAGCTTAAGTAATGGATGCCTTCTTTTTGTTTCCTATTCTGTGTTCAGTGCTTTAATTGTTCTTGAAATGTTTTCCACTTGTCTATTTTAATTCTTGTGAGTACTAGAATAGCTTTGGCCTTTTAAAACATTTGTTTATTTTTTTTCTGAGAATGGCTAACACACTTTATTGAGGTTCGAAATTAATAAAGAAAATAAAAGAAATGTATCTTCATTCATTCTGTATGTTAGTGTTTTAATTACCCTTAGAATATATGGATAAAAAATACTATTCTTTGTCTTGGAGAAGGTAAGAGTCTAGTTAGATGAATAAGGGTTATCTATGTAGAACAACTAGAGAATGAGAAGAGAGCTTATGAGATTGAGTACTACGTTATGCAGTAGAGTAGCACGTCATCTGCTACTGAGTATGGTGTGATAACATTGTGTAACAGGAAAGTATGATCAATATCTACTTAAAATTAAGGACAATATTAGCACTACATTGCTTTATTTTAAAGTAAAAATTAGAGAACTAAACACAAGCATTGTAAGTACAATAAAAGCTGATCTTTCTAGTTAAGCAGAATAATACATGTTCAAGCATCTGCTAAATCATTAAATATAAGAATATAGGGGTTTTCTATAATCTTATTTTTCTTTGGAAGAGTACCTCATTTTCAAGAGGAGAAGTTTCTAATTGACCACTTCTTTAAAAATAAAACAGGGTTTTTAATGTATCCCAGCAAAAAAAATTAATATCTCTTCAAAAAGTTCTCTTGTGATTAAGTTTGAATTCCCTTTGTCATACTGCTTCTAATATTGTACACTGACCTCCTTAGTTATTTTTCAGTGTTTATAATCTTTTCTTAGGTTATCTTTTTTCAAGATTTGGATTACTTTGTTCTTTTCTGTGTTTTTCAGCCTTTCTAAGCTTTTATTGATACTCCTGTAAGTGTTTGTGGCAAATGTCTGGGTTTAAGAAAAACCATGAAATAAATATTATAATAAAAGAGGTTATGCCTTTTCCAACAATGTTTTCTAATCATTTTATTCTGTTAGTTATTGTGAGATTCTGTAATCTGTTTCTGAAAGCCCATTTAGTTGATTGTTTGCCAGATAGTTTTTATATTTTAGAATAGATTGCATGCACACTTTTCCTCATAGAGTCTTATATTTCTGAAGTATTTTGGTGCTTTCAAATAACCTTATAGTAATAAATGTAAATTACATTGCTATGATTTTCCATATTTATTAATGATAATTAGTATTGTTGCGTTCATGGTAACTTGAAAATTGCCTTAGTTCTTCTATTTAGTTTTCAAACTGATGGCAGTTTGCATGAACACAATTTTTCCTAATGTCTGTATTTCAGAAGAATGCATGAGTGTTTGTTTTATAACCAGATTTGTTTCTGTTTTTTCAGAAGTCATATTTTAATTCCTGCAATTTATTTAATGGAATTATCAATATCTTTTGCATGTAAGCCTATAGGTTTCATTAAATTCAAAAAGCAATTTTGAGATGTCATGTGCTCTTTGGTTGCTCAAGGCTGTTTTATGTTTGTTGCTTTAAAAATCACATGGGATGCAGCTGATGCTTTACAAAGTACAACCAAGCTAATCATTTTAAAATAGCTTTGCTGTTTTCTTTCCTAGAGTAGGAGTTTAGGATCAAATACTTAACAGAAAAAGGAAAATAAGAGACCTTATAAGTAGGCATCTCACTGATTCAGTTAGATACAGACATTCAAGCTGAAGTTATTAATACATGCAGCCTTTTTGAATAACACCTCTCAAAATTGATTATATAGTGGTCACTGATATTTATAGTTAGTTTAAGGATGTTTCTCTTTCATACTTTAAATATTGTCCATGACCCGAGCAATAATTTTACCATGCTATAGAGCAAGATCACACCTCTTGCAATGAAGGTAGAGGGTACTTTCCCCTACACCTCCAGAAAAAGGAAGTTACTTGGGAAATATTGTTTGGGTGATTTAATAGTTACCATTAATTAAGGTCATCGGTTGACTGGGCATAGGTTGATTCTGTTCAAAGTTAACAACCTAAAAAGATAACCATGAACTGTAATATATTTCCTTTGTGAGGATTTAGGGTAAGGAAGATAATAAAGTATTTTAAAGTATTTACAGTATACTCTTAGAACCTTCATGATATGGCACACCTGCAGAGGGATTTTTTGCTTAATTATATGAACATTAACTTTTATCATTACAGCTTACATTTTATAATTCTATTTTAAATACATCTGGGAACTTTCAGTATTGTGGTACTTAATCTTCCATTGGGTGGTTGGAAATTCAGGTTCATAGCAAGCCACGTTAATCTGATGCTTGTCTCAGTTTAGTCAATTAACATTTGACTACCTGTTCCGTTGAGGATTCTGAGAAAGTTTTATAGTCCTTTACCATTACTATTTAAAAAGTACAGTCTTTCTCCTTACAGAACTCGACTTTTTTTTTACATTTTTTATTGAGTTTTTATGGTAGAGATAAAGAAGTATTCATTCAACAGACATGAGAACTAACTATATTCTGTAATTAGATAGTCCCTATTCTTAATCAACTTAGAAGTTTAGTGGGACAGACAGGAAAATCAACAAATTAGTTATGAACACAGTATAGTGGAAGCACAGGGAAGATGGAAATATCTGGATAGATTCCTAAAATTAATATGTCATTTTTGCCCATATGGGCCATCCTATTCTCTGTTTCAGTTTTATTAATATTTCATTTATTTTAGAGTATTTTGAGTCTTTTTCTTTTCTAGAATTTTTAAAGAGACTATAGGCATCATCTAGTCTGACATGATTATTTTCTAGGAGTTAGAACCAGAGCCTAGAGAGATTTAGTGACTTCAGACGAAGAAACTAATTGCTTCTTATAAAGTGTGATATCCAGACCAGCAGAATCAGTATCACCTGGGAACTTGTTAGAAATACATACTCTCAGGTTCCACTCCAGACCTACTGAATTTGATGTGTTTCAGCAGTCTGTGTGTTTAACCAGCCTTCCAGATGATTCTGAAGCATGTTCAAGTTTAGGAACCACTGTTACAGCTCATTGATTCTTTGTGCCTCCATCACTAATCAAGGTCACTGTTCTAGAGAGCAGCTGTTATTGATGCATGTGTTTTACCTCAGGGGCCTTTCAGTAAAAATCAGTAAAGAGTACTGATAGAGTTAATTGGTGATAAAGCTGGAATAAGAGCCTCCAGTCTAGCATTCCTTCCGTCATTCAGTGTTACTTTTTACCTTTTTAAATCCCTGACAGCAACTTAGTCTACAGTACTGATTCTGAACCCCTAGCTTTAAAAAGGCTACAACCCTAATTTAAACATCAAAGTAAAGTAAATAAATGAACATATTCTTAGAAAAGCTTTTTAGGTTTTTCTTCAGCTTTCTAAAGAACTGATTCTGAATCTTCTCTGGATTGTGGACTCCTGTGGAAAACTGATGAAAGCTATAAACCTTTTCTTCGGGAAAAAAAGAAATTATGTACACACTAGTCCCCCCTTATCCATGAGTGATACGTTCCAAGACAATCAGTGGATGGCTGAAACTGCAAATAGTGCCTTCATATGCTGTTTTTTTCCAATGAAGACATATGATAAGGTTTAATTCATAAATTAGGCACAGTAAGTGATTAACAACAATAATAGTAAAGTAGGACAATTATAACAATGTAATAAAAATTATGTAAATGTGGCATCTCTGTCTCTCAGAATATCTTATTGTATTGTCCTACAGATAACTGAAATCGTGGAAGGCAAAATGCAGAAAGGGGGGACTACTGTACACCTATGAACAGTATATTACATATAATCTCAGAGACTTCTGGTCTCTCTTGAAGCTAATGGACCCAGGTTAATAAGTGCCTTATTTTGATTTCTATGGGGGCTTTTATTTCCACTTAATTTTCAGATTCTTCCTTTCCATTTTCTGTGACAGTCATTTTTTGAGAGTTTAGAATGGACTATCCTGTATCCCCCACGTATACATAAGCTTACACATGCGTGTATACACATATGTAACTGGGTGGGTGAGTATTTTGGGAAGACTCCTAGATTATTTGGAGGGCATGGGCCAGAGCTTCCTCTAGTAGTTCACCACATACCTTTTTTCAGGTACACTGAGTATGTATTGAACAGAATACAGTAGAAATTTATGGACATTAAAGAGTCAGATTCTTTCAAATAAGCAAGTGAAGGGATTGAACATTCAGCAAAGAAGATTCTGATAACAAGACTTTGGAGACTTGGTGAAGTAGCAGACTTAATGAGATTACTGTGCTTTTACTCTTCTCTCCTCCACCTGCCTATTTTGCAGGGGAGTTGGGGGAGGCCGGCTTAAAAATGCAGAGACAAATATGGAAGCACTTTAGAGAGTAATATATGAATCTGAATATTCTAGGCATTAGTCCCTGTTCTGGTTATTAGTATCTTATGCTTTTGATTTTTACCGTATAAGATGTTTATGCACTCATTATTAAATTCAGACTACTATGTCAGATAACAAAATGTTTGATAGATGTTTAAAGTATGGTGCAATTATGGAACTAAAATATTTCCTCCCAAATATTTATTTTCTATGTGCCACTATCTGTCTTCCTAAATATGTGAGAAAAGTTTTGAAATTAACCAAAAAATGCTTTCTGTGTGTATAAGATTTCAGGAAACTTTATAGAGAAAAGTAACTATAGAAATTATTTTACTGTTTTGCATTAGTATTGCCAGTAAAATTAGATTACTTTTGATAAAAGCTTTAAGAGATAAATATACTGAAAATAATGTCCTCCAATGCAAGGAACATTGTAGTTCATGAGATCTTTAGTTATTGGTATTTTTGTGGGATACAGATTAATTAGTAATAATCAGAAGTCCTATTTTATGTAAGAGAATTTAGATAGTGTTTTATAATCGCTTTTTGAAAAAACTGCATAGATTATAATGTCTTTTTTCCTCTTCTCTTCCAGGATCGAAGTAGAATGTATGACAGTTTGAATATGCACTCTTTGGAAAATTCCCTTATCGATATTATGAGAGCAGAGCATGATCCTCTTAAGGGTAGGTGACTTTTTAAAAAAATATATGTTTATATTATACACCAATTTGCTTATCTTACTAGTTTTTATATGAAAGTGAAACCTAAGTAGCACCTATATCCAATATAAAACTCTCTTACACATTTATTAATGAGAATCTTTGTTTTTATGAAATGCCATATTTTTCCTTTGTTGCTTAATGTGAACTCACCTCCCTTGACTTACAATTTAAGGAAAATTTACTATTTAGAGACATGCTTCAGTTCACCAGAGAATGAAGGATGGATCTAAAAGTATACACTAGTCACTTTTCTAGAATTCTTTCAAGTACAAAAATACTAAAAATATTTCTTGGAATACTTGTATTCACAATTTGCAGTGATTCCAGCCTAGAATTATCCCTAGTTAACCTCCTTTCTCTATTTTTCTTCTACTGTCATAGGGTTTTGAAAGGGGGGGGAGTATTTTATAGTAGCTTCTCTGAGGTGAAAAATAGCTTTTCATAGAAGTTGAGACAAATTAGGGAAAAGAACCGGCCCACTTACCCTATAGTAGCAGTCTTCACTAATTGTTTGTAGTATTTGAAGAAATTTCATTAGCATACTTGTTTTTGTCTGTACATATTCTGTGTATAAAATGAAAAAAAGCAATTATTATATATTTTTATACAATATATCACATTGTCATTTATATCAGTGGTGAAAATCTACCAAATTGTCTATTTGAGTCATGACAGTTACTATTTATCTATTGCTACATAATAAATTATCTCAAAACTTAGCAGCTTAAAAACAGCAATAAATATTTATTACCTTAAACAGTTTCTGTGAGTCAGAAATTCAGGAGCAGCTTAACTATTTTATTCTGGCTCAAAATCTCTCATTGAATCAAAATCATGGATTACTTTGTAAATTTTCGCCATTTTTAATTCTATAAAGCCAAGTTAGAATTCTCTTTCAAGATTTGGCCTAAAAACTATAAACTTCCTTATTGGCAGGGAGGTGGTGATGTGGGGCTAAGTTGATAATACTGACCACATATCTAACTATTTTTTTCTGTTTATGGATTTTTCTTGTAAAAAGAATTCCTTGTCTTTTTAATTCCTTAATTTTAAGGAGCTTGAGAAGCTGAGGGGATATTAGTGATTGTTGATTATGTGTGCTAATAGTAATTCCTCATACAAACTTATAGTTGTATGTCAGGTTTTTGGGGATGTTTGTTTGAGTTTCTTTTTTTTTTTTCCTTTTAACCAAAGTTCAGCTTAGTTTTTTGAGTATCTTTGTATAGGGTCTTGGTCTTTTTCACTGTTATGCTGGCAGTTTCAGTGGTTTGTCTTAGATCCACCATTTAGAATAGAAGCCAGCAGCTTATGATTAAGAAGTTTCCTGTTTATCTCCTTGGCTTCTCAAGAAAGAAAACTCTTAGAAACTCCAATACAAGATAAAGTCAAGATTATTAACTGTTACCAGTGGATAATAAAAGTTTTTCATTGTTGTTTCTCCCAGTCTTTTTTTTTTTTTCAAAAGGCTTTTTAAACATGTTAGACAAAATGTTCATTGTGGCACTGTTAATTATCTCAGTTTTTCTTTTTGCTAGCCTGGGTTATAGTAAAAGTGAAGGGAAACGTAAAAAGAGGACATTGAAAAGGAAATGGAAGCATTATAAGGCTAAGGGGAATTTTATATATATATATATATATATATATATATATATACACACGCACACACACACGCATATATAGATATATATGTTTTTTAATCTCAAGTGAATTC
>NW_021159992.1:0-53476 GCF_000001405.40 Homo sapiens
TTTAGGTTACTAAGCTCGTAATTAAAAGTCTTCACTAATGACATGGTAATTGTTTTAATGGGTTTCCAATGAAGTGTGAAGTTCCCTGCTGATGTGTCAACAAAATATGAAGCATTGTGAGAAAACGATGTAAAGCTTCATAGAATGTAGCATTAGAGGAGACCTTAAAATTATCAAGGGTAACCTTTCCATATTAGAAAAGAGGAAATAACTTCAGAGAAGTGATGTGTGTTGCTGAAGGTCATTACACTGAGTGGAAACTGTGGGTGTCCTGACTCCTAGTACTGTGATTCGTTTCCATCTCACTGCCTACTAATTTTGACCTGCTTTTTATTTATATTGTTCCTGTATTAAAAACCTGATTTTATGTTTTTCACTATATCAATGGAAATATTTATTTATTCTATCAATAAAAAGGTGCATAAGAAAACAATTTATTACATTAGTTTTATGGGAAGATTGCAAAGGTGACTTTGGGGATAAAAATCTACAGAGCTGAGAATTTCTTGGTTGGGTGCCTCCAGAATAAATAAATATCTTGAGAAATCAATGCACCACGAGAGCTGTGAAGAAATTTTAGTGCAATTTCATAATTAAAAGAATGTTATATTAAGTAACCGAAATTCTATATATTTGTACAGTTTCAAAATGTCTAAGGATATTTCTAGTTATTTTAGTCTTGGAACTGCGAAAGGAAGTAGAACAGACATCAGAACTTTAAAAAGTAGAAAACAGGGAAAAGGTAAGTGAGTTACTTGGCAAAACCAAAACTTAAATTTTTTATTTGAAGTTCAAGCCTTGAAAAATGAAATAAGTTGCAGAATGATGCTTTGCAGAACCCATTTAAGACCAATTTTCAGTGCATAATCATTAGTGACAGAACAAGAGAGAATTTTTTCATCATGATGTCAAATTATATTCCTTAGAGATATACACAAAAAGTATGAGAGTTTTCTTTTGCTGTAAATCATCAAAGAATATTTTTCATTATTGTTTCAGGAATGTTCCCCCAATATGAGATAAGCTTAGTAGTTCTTGTAAGTCTTTTGGAATTTTACAACATAAATTCATGTTAAAAGTCACGCATTCATCTATTTCCAAAGTAGGTTAAAGCATATGTTCTCAAGGAATTTACAGATACTTTTAAATTTCTCCAAATATTAAATAGGTAATTGGCACTAGCTTCAAACTCCAAAGATTTAAAATTACAAAGCACATTGGATCTATTAACTTAGTCTGGGTTTAATTTTAAGACCAGGATAATTTCCTTATACTTTTCTTCATTTAGGAAGAATTCTAAGAATGATAATTATTATTTTTTAAAGTTTTCACAAAGTAAGAGATCGTTTAAACGCAAAATTCTCTTATCACTGTATCTGTACCCTTGCTTACATGGAGTAAGCATTGCTACTGCTTCCTCACTTATATCTAGCTTTTGATGGTGTCTCATGCTGTTAAGCTATCTGTTATAGACTGTTTCATTTTCCTACTTGATGAAGGAAAGTGATGTTAATTTTAATTGGATTGCTGTATTTCATTACTTTGTAAATTTCACTCTTTATACTTTTTTCCAATAGAGTTCATCAGAAAACAGCTCCAAAATGGAGTTTATAATGGAGATTCTTCTACAGTTTACCAAACTTTTATAGGCACTTATCTGCTTGAAGAGTCTGTTGAAGTCCTTGAATGAAGGAAAAGAATTGTGTTATGTTTGATTACATTAAGCAACCTAATAAAGTCAATTTTCTCCAAATGACAAATCAAGTGACCTTGTTTTCTCCTCTACGTTCCCTTTTCCTTTTGGCATTGATGACCTCCAAAGAACAGAAGCAGATACTACATTCTGCCTAGCTAGCCATGCTTGCTTCTACTATAGTATACCTTTTTTTAATACTCTTTAACTTTACTGGAATTAGCACATTTAACAAATGACTCTGTTAAACACTGAGAAGGAAATAACAAAGAACCCATATAACTAGCTAAGATTTTTAAACACAAAGGAGAGCAGAAATACAATTTAAATGTTAAATAATCATGTAATATGGGCATACTTTATCATTGTGTAGTAAGACTGAAATTCAAGGGCCTGGATTCTCATCCTCTAAAATATTATAACCCGTCTCAGAGATAAGAATATGGCCCTATGAGATTATGATTTCAAGAGAGATTATGATTATACCTGGTACACAAAACAGCTGAAATAGGGCTTAGTGATTTGCTTGGTATGGGCACAAGCTATTTCTGTTGAATAATCCATAGCCATGTGCAGCTAGCAGTCAGCAATTACCCCTCCCTGCCCTGCTCTCCACCAAAAGCTCCTTATATGATGTCTGGGAGCAATGGTCTGCTCCCAGGTTTGGGTTCAGTTCATGTGTAGCTGCCTGGAACTGCCGACAAAATATGCTGGACTGTGATGATATGCAGTCTGTGCTCCTTCGTTTGTGAGCCCTGGAGGTCCCTGTAAGCCTGGGAATGGCTCTCGTAAGGTAAAATCCTTTTGAAAAAATATGGAAAATAAATCTCCTTAATAGTCTATGTTTTTAATAAACTGTCACTAACACTTTTACTGTTTTTATAAACTTCTTCAAAAGTAATAAAATATTGAAAGTCTTCAATACCTTCTCCTAAAGCTTTTTCTCTGATCCATCCCTCTAGTGCACACATAAAAGACCAGAAAGAGAGGAAGGTAATTGTGGTGTACTACAAATAATGATTATAATTCATCCCTGGAGCCAATTTTTCCTTCCCTGGTATCTGAATTCGCCTTGTATTCAGTTTTGGCCAATAGCAATGTGGTGGAATTGCTGTTGTATCTAAACCTGTACTTTATGTGCTCCTGCTGTCACACATGGGTTTCTGAGACAGCCATATGAACAACAGCCTAGGCTGCTGGAGGATCAGAGATCCAACCTACAGCTGGCCCAGGAGCTTAATGGAGCTTTATGAGTGAGCCAAGCTGAGATCAGCCAGTCCTGGCCTGATTTGGCCAAATGCCTTGCTGAACCTATCTTCAATTTCCAAGTCACAGCACAAACTAAAATATAGTTGTTTTAAAGTAATAATTTTTTCATGAGTTGTTATACAGTAAAATGTCATAAATAAAATGAGTCTAGTATTCCTGAAGAGGTCATGGTATAAATACTTAGGCTTCTTAAGGATATCTAATGTAAGTAAAGCACAAGGTAAAACGCAATTCCTCCTCTATGCTAAAAAGCATATGAATAAGTGAAGGGTACTTTCTTTTATAAACAATATTTAAACATACATTTACTTAAATGATGACATTTTTAAAATTTAATATATTGGCCACAAGATAATACTAACACCCCTTAAGTTTTCTGAGAACTTAATCAATTTAATGTCTTAAAGGCATAATATTGAACAGTGCTGTAAAACAAACTAACTTTCTCTATTAGATTAAAACTATGTAAGTTAACAGCATATAACACAATGCAAAGCACTGGAGCTGTATAGCAGTATACAAAAGAAAATATAAAAACAATTCCTGTGAATGTACAAGAGGATTTTGGGTGGGCAGACCATTATAATAGAAACTGGAAATTAGATAGGAAAACAGTTTAACAACTTTGCTTGCATCAGCAATATCAGGAGATATTGAACAATGACAAGTGTCAGAGCTTAGACTTTATGTTTCCTCTTCACAATGCTCCCTCAAGGAATCTAAATCCATAAGGAAATACTAATAATTGCTTAAGTCTTTTGTAGTACATGACCATCAACTGGGAAAGCTTTTCTAGTAAAATAAGAACAAGGAAAAATAATAATTTTAAGCACTGGCATGTTGTAATCCTTAGTTTTTATTCATTTCGATGCAATTGTTCCAAATAATATGTCCCCAATTAGTGGCCAACTATACCATTGTATATGTAGTGTAAGAGATAGGAGAAAAGAAATAGTCCAAATTGTTTAAGGTTATCACTTAGAGAAATGAAAGTGTATCATACAATCATGTAATAGGCCACCTACCCAGTTTATAACTAAACTTTTCTGAAAAAAAATTTTGTCACCAAATGTAATGTTATCAATCAACATATGATATTTGAATGTGAGCATTTGCTATAAAATAATCTGAATCTAAGTCATCATATTAACTTCATTGTCTAATGGAAAGTTTTATTTATTTTTCAAGAAACTGTAGTTAGTAAGTTAACCTTCAAATGAATTATCAATTAAATTATGATTTATTTCACCATTATCATCTAAGGGGCTTTATAGAACTCTTAAAATACCAACAATAATAAAGTAAAAAACACACACACAGATAATACATAGGTATGTATACCCCACTCATAATGTATACACATGTATATGTATATGTCTTAAACCACTATAGCATATATTATTAATATTGGTATATATGACATATTTTTATACTACATTTATGTATAAACAAAGTATACATAAACTTATAATTTTGTTACCATATGTCACTAAGCCCTCAAATTAAACTCTTGCTCTAAGACTCAAATTCCCTTCTTAAAATAACCACCTTAGCTTCTTCTTGCTGTTCTATAATACTTGTTTCAAACTACTTCCAAGACAGGAAATCATTTTCTGCTGTAAGTCTAACCTTGGTTACTGCAAGAAGGCAAACAATTAAGGACACAAAGGGACAAGGACCAGTCAAAGGGCTATTCAACTCCCCTTCCTTTCTACCAAAATAAATAGTCATTTAAAAGCAAATAAACAGTTCAACCTCTTTTTTCCAAGATTTGTTTTGTTTTGTGTCCTTTCTCCCAACCTCTGTCATTCTATTCTCTTTCTCTCTTTCATTCTTATTTATTCGGTTTTGGGCCAGCCCCCACCCACCCCCTACCAGAAAGGTCTAACACATCAAACTAGACACTTGTGGGAAAAAAAATATTGACAGAGTTTAGAAAATCAGGAAATGATTTTATTGATGATAATTGGGTGAACAGATAATCTTTTCTTCCAATAGCAATATAAATAACAATTTTTAAAAATTAAAAATACAGAGATACTTTAACAGTATTATCCTCTTTTTTAAAATGTTTAAAGTAATCTTTTGTATGGCATAATTGACTAGTCTCTTTTTCTTCTTAAAAAAGAGTAAATATGTCCATGTTTCCCAAGAGATGGTGTGTGTGTGTTTGTGTGTGTGTGTGTGCGCGTGCGTGTTTTTGCCAGGAGGGGGCGTCTTTTTTTTAAAATTCAATTTATTTAAAAAAATATTTTTAATTTTTTTGGGTATATAGTAGGTGTATATATTCATAGAGTATTTGATATATTTGATACAGGTGTACAATTTGTAGTAATCACATCAGGGTAAATGGGTATTCATCACCTCAAGCATTTATTCTTTGTTGTACAAACAATCCAATTACACATTTTTCATTATTTTATAATGTATAATAAATTGATTGGACTATAATCAATAACAAACTATTAATTTTTTACTGTAATCACCCTACTATGCTACCAAATACTAGATCTCATTTATTCTATCTAACTCTATGTTTGTATGCATTAACCAGCCCCACTTTCCTCTCCACCCCACTATCTTTCCCATCCCCTGGTAACCATCCTTTTACTCTATATGTGCATGAGTTCAATTGTTTAAATTTTTAACTGCCATAATTCAGTGAAAACACACAAAGTTTGTCTTTCTTTGCCTGGATTATTTCACTTAAGGACATCTGGTTCCATCCATGTTATTGCAAATGACAAGATCTCATTCTTTCTTGTGGCTGGATAGTACTCCATTGTGTATGTGTACCACATTTTCTTTATCCATTCCATACTTTCTTTTGGGTACATACTCAGCAGTGGGATTGCTGGATTATAGGATAGCTCAATTTTTAGTTTTTTGATGAAGCTCCAAAATGGTTCTCCATAGTGGTTATACTAATTTACATTCTCATCAACAGTGTACAAGGGTTCCCTTTTTTCCACATCCTTACCAGCATTTGTTATTGCCCATCTTTTAGATAAAGACAATTTTAACTGAAATGAGATAATATTTCATTGTAGTTTTGATTTGCATTTCTCTGATGATCAATGATGTTAAACATCTTTTTCTATACCTGTTTGCCATTTGTATATCGCCTTTTGAAAAATGTCTATTCAAATCTTTTGCCCATTTTACTTGGTTTATTAGATTTTTTTTCCTATAGAGCTGTTTGAGCCCCTTATACATTATTGTTATTAATTCTTCATCAGATGGATAGGTTTCAGATAATTTCTCCCATTCTGTGGGTTGTCTCTTTACTTTGATGATTGTTTCCCTTGCTGTGCAGATGCTTTATAACTTGATGAGTTCCCATTTGTCAATTTTTACTTTGGATGCCTGTGTTTGTGGGGCATTACTCCAGAAATCTTTGCCCAGTCCAATGTTTTGGAGAGTTACTCCAATGTTTTATTTTATTAGTTTCATAGTTTGATGTCTTAGATTAAGTCTTTAATCTATTTTGATTTAGTTTTTTGCATATGGCCAGAGATAGGGGTATAGTTTCAATCTTCTGAATATGGATATTCAGTTTTCCTAGCATCATTTGTTGAGGAGACTGTCCTGTTTCCAATGTATGTTCTTGGCACCTTTGTTAAATATTAATTCATTGTAGATGTATAAATTTGTTTCTGGGCTCTGTCTTCTGTTCCATTGGTCTATGTGTCTGTTTTTATGACAGTACCTGCTGTTTTGGTTATTATAGCTCTGTAGTATAATTTGATGTCAGGTAATGTGATTCCTAAAGGTTTTGTTCTCTTTCGTTCAGAACAGGTTTGGATATTCTGGATCTTTTGTGGTTTTATATAAGTTTTAGAAATGGTTTTTCTATTTCTGTGAAAAATGTCATTGGTATTTTATTAATAATAGGCATTGCATTGACTCTTTAGATTATTTTGGATGGGATGATTATTTCAATAATATTCGTTATTTCAATCCAGAGACATGAAATGTCTTTTCATTTGTTGTGCCCTCTTCAATTTATTTCACTGATGTTTTAGTTTTCATTGTAGAGATTGTTCACATCCTTGATTAAGTTAATTCCTAGATATTTTATTATATTTGTAGCTATTGGAAATGGGATTAATTTCTTAATTCCTTTTTCAAATTGTTCACTGTTGGCATACAGAGATGAGACTGATTTTTGTATGTCAATTTTGTATCCTGAAATTTACTGAATGTGTTTATTAGTTCAAATAGATTTTTGGTGGAGTCTTTAGATTTTTCTAAATATAAGATTGTATCATCTGCAAGCAAGGATAATTTGACTTCTTTTCCAATTTGAATGCCCTTTATTTCTTTCTCTTGTCTGATTGCTCTAGCTAGGGCTTCCAGTACTTTGTTAAATTAACAGTGGTGACAGTGGGCTACCTTATCATGAGCTTTCAGTGTTTCCCCATTTAATGTGATACTAGCTATGGGTCTATCATATGTGGCTTTTATTATGTTGAGATGTGTTCCTTCTATGCCCAGTTCTTTGAGTTTTTTTAAAATCATGAAGGGGTGCTGAATTTTATCAAATAATTTTTTAGCATCAATTAAAATGACTATATGTTTTTTGTCCTTCATTCTGTTGATGTGAAGTATCACACTGATTGATTTGCATATGTTGACCCATCCTTGCATGCCCAGGATAAACCCTGGTTTTGCATATGTTGAACGATACTTGCACCCTCTCTTGGTCATAAAGAAGAATCTTTTTAATGTGTTGTTGAATTTGATTTGCTAGTATTTTGTTGAGGATTTTTGCAACAATGTTCATCAGAGATATTGGCCTGCCTTTTTTTTTTTTAACGTGCTTTTGTCTGGTTTTGATACCACGGTAATACTGGCCTTGTAAAATAAGTTTGGAAGTATTCCCTCCTCCTCTATTTTTCAAAATAGTTTGAGTAGGATTAGTATTAGGTATTTAAATGTTTGGTAAAATTTAGCAGTGAAGTCATTGCGTCCTGGCCTTTTCTTTATTTAGAGATGTTTTATTACAGCTTCAATCTCATTACTTTTTATTCATCTGTTCAGGTTTTGGATTTCTCCATGGTTCAGTTTTGGTAGGCTTTATGTGTCTAGGAATGTATCCAATTCTTTTAGATTTTTCAATATATTGGTGTATAGTTGCTCATAGTAGCCTCTAATGACCCTTTGAATTTCTGGGGTATCAGTTTTAATGTCTCATTTTTCAACTCTCATTTTATTTACTTAGGTCTTTTCTCTTTTTTTTCCCTTAGTCTGGCTAAAGGTCAGTCTGTTTTGTTTGTCTTTTCAAAAAACTTTTTGTTTCATTTTGTATTTTGTCTTCATTTCAATTTCATTTATTTCTGCTATTTGTTTGTTTATTTATTTATTTATTTATTTATTTATTTATTTATTTTATTTTGAGACAGAGTTTCACTCTTGTTGCCCAGGCTGGAGTGCAATGGTGCAATCTTGGCTCACTGCAACCTCCACCTCCTGAGTTCAAGTGATTCTCCTTCCTCAGCCTCCGAATTGCTGGGATCACAGGCATGCACCACCATGCTCGGCTAATTTCGCATTTTTAGTAGAGATGGGGTTTCTCCATGTTGATCAGGCTAGACTTGAACTCCCAACCTCAGGTGATCCACCCACCTTGGCCTCTCAGAGTGCTGGAATTACAGGTGTAAGCCACTGTGCCCAGCCTGCTCTTTGTTATTTCTTTTTTTCTATTGATTTTGGGTTTAGTTTGCTCTTGCTTTTCTAGTTCTTTAAGAGGCATTATTGGGTTGTTTATTTGAAGTTTTATCTCCTTTTTTTAAGGTAGATACTTATAAATACAAACTTCCCTTTTAGTACTGCTTTTGGTGTATCTCATAGGCAGGTTTGGGTGTGTTGTGTTTCCATTACCAGTTGTTTCAAAGATTTTTAAATTTTCTTCTTAATTTTTTCATTGACCCACTAGTCATTCAGGAGCACATTGTTTAATTTTCATGTATTTGTATCGCTTCTAAAACTTATCTTGGTATTGATTCCTAGTTTTATTTTATTTTCATCAGAGTAGATATTTGATTTAATATCTATTATAATAATTTTTGAAAAGTTTTACAACATTTTTTGCGACTTCTCTTATGGTCTATCCTTGAGAATTATCCATGTGCTGAGGAGAACGATGCATATGCTGTAGCCATTGGATGAAATGTTCTGTAAATATCTATTAGGTCCATTTGGTCTACAGTGCCATTTAAGTTCAACGTTTCTTTGTTCGATTGTCTGTCTGGATGATCTGCCTAACACTAAAAGTGGAATGTTGAAGTCTCCAGCTATTATTGTATTGGGATCTATCTCTCTCTTTAGCTCTGATAAAATTTCCTTTATATATCTTGGTGTTCCAGTGTTGAGTGCATATATATATATATATATATATATATATACATATATATATATATAATATTTACTACTGATATATCTTCTAGCTGAATTTATCTATTTATTATTATTTATGACCATACTTGTGTCTTTTTATATTTTTATCTTAATAGCTATTTTTCCTCATATAATTATAAATACCCTTGCATTTTTGGTTTCTATATTCATGAAATATATGTTTACATTCCTTTATTTTCAGTCTACATTTGTATTTATAATTGAATGTGCTTCTTGTAGGCAACAGATTGTTGGGTCATTTTTTTTAATCCATTAAGCCACTGTATGTCTTTTTTTGTAGAATTGAATCCATTTACACTCAATGCTATTATTGATAAGTAAGGACTTCCTCCTGCCACTTTGTTTTTTCTTTTCTGATTGTTTTGTGGTCAACTCTTACTTCTTTCCCTCCTTCTGGTCTTTTAGTGATGGTGGTTTTCTCTGGTGGTACATTTTAATTTCTTGTTACGTGTGTGTGTGTGTGTGTGTGTGTGTGTGTGTATAAACTGTATGTTTTTTGATTTGGGGTTAACATGATGCTTGCAAACAATATAATATATCCCATTATTTTTAAAAGATGACAACAGTGGATAAACAAAAAAACTAATAAACAAAAAGAGAAAACTAATGAAAACTCTACACTTTTTAACTCCATCTTCCCACTTTTTAACTTTCTGTTGTTTCTATTTATATCTTACTGTACTATCCATGTCTTAAAAAATTGTTGTAATTATTATTTTTAATTGGTTCATCTTTTAGTCTTTTCTACTTAAGATATAAATAGTTTAAACATCACAATTACAGTGTCGTAATACTGTGTGTTTTTCTGTGTATTACTTTTTATTTTTTGAGACAAAGTTTTGCTCTTGTCCCCCAGTCTGGGGTGCAATGCGCCATCTCGGCTCACTGGAACCTCTGCCTCCTGGGTTCAAGTGATTCTCCTGCCTCAGCCTCCCAAGTAGCTGGGATTACAGGCATCTGCCACCATGCCCGGCTAATTTTTGTACTTTTAATAGAGATGGTGTTTCACCATGTTGGCCAGGCTAGTCTCGAACTCCTGACCTCAGGTGATCCACCCACCTCGGCCTCCCAAAGTGCTGGGATTACAGGCATGAGCCACCATGCCCAGCCTTGTGTATTACTATTATAAGTTAGTTTTATACTTTCAGATGGTCTCCTCTTGATCAATAATTTTCTTTTCTTTCAGACTGATGAACTTCCTTTAGCATTTCCTGTTGAAAAGGTCTTGTGTTGATGAAATCCCTCAGCTTTTGTTTGTCTAGGAAAGTATTTCACTTTCATTTTGAAGGTTATTTTTACCTTTATTCTAGGATAAAAGTTCTTTTTTTTTCCTTCAATACTTTAAATATGCTATGTCACTCTCTCCTGGCCTGTAAGTTTTCCACTAAAAAGTCTGCTGTCAGATGTATTGGAGCTCCATTATATGTTATTTGTTTCTTTTCTCTTGCTGCTTCTATGATTCATTCATTATCCTTGACCTTTCACAGTTTGATTATTAAATGTCTTGAGGTAGTCTTATTTGGATTTAATCTGCTTGCTGTTCTACAATTTCTTGTACCTGAATACTGATATCTTTCTCTAGGTTTGTGAATTTCTCTGTTATTATCCTTTGGAATAAACTTTCTACCCCTGTCTCTCTACCTACTCTTTAAGACCAATAACTCTTAAATTTGCGCTTTTGAGGCTATTTTATAGATCTTGTAGGCACATCATCCTTTTTAATTCTTTTTTCTTTGGTTCTCTCTGTGAATTTTCATATACCCTGTTTTCAAGATCACTGATTCTTCTGTTTGGGCAATTCTGCTGTTATGAGACTCTGATTCATTCTTCTGTGTGTCTATTGCATTTTTCAACTCTAGAATTTCTGCTTGATTCTTTTAAATTATTTCAATCTTTTTATTTTAGTTTATCTGGTAAGATTCTCAATTTCTTCTCTGTGTTATCTTCAACTCCATAGAGTTTCCTCAAAACAGCTATTTTGAATTCACTTTCTGGAAGGTCATATATCTCTTTCTCTCCAAGATTAGCCATTGATACCTTATTGTGTTTGTTTTGTGAGGTCATGTTTTCCTGGATGGTCTTGATGCTTTTGAATATCAATGGTGTCTGTGAATTGAGGAGTCATGGATTTACTGTATGTAATCTTTGCAGTCTGTGCTTGTTTATACCTGCCCTTTTTGGGAAAATTTTCCAAGTCTTCAAAGGGATTTGAGTTTTGTGATCTAAGCTTTTGGTCGCTGCAGCCATATCTGCATTAAGGGACATCCCAAGCCCAGTAACGCTGTGATTCTTCCAGACTTGTAGAGGTACCACTTTGATGGTCTTGGATAATATCTAGAGTATTTCTCTGAATTACTAGGCAGAGAATCTTGTTCTCTTCCCTTTCTTTCACCCAAATAAATGGAGGCACCCTCTCTGTGCTGAGGTGCCTGGAGCTCCCAGAAAGGTGACAAAAGCACCACTATAGCCACAACCACTGAGACTGTGCTGGGTCAGATCTGAAGCCAACACAGCACTGAGTGTCACCAAGGCCTGACGTAACCACTACCTGGCTACTGCGTATGTTTGCTCAAGGCCCCAGGGCTCTATAATCAGCAGGTGGTAAAGACAGCAATGCATTTATCTAATGATCAGTGATGTTGAGCTTCTCTTCAAGTTTGTTGGCCACATAAATGTCTTCTTTTGAGGAGTCCATTCATGTCCTTTGTCCACTTTTTAATGGGGTTATCTGTTTTTTTCTTGTATTTTTTAAGTTCCTTGTAGATTTTGGATATTAGACCTTTGTCAGATGAACAGATTGCAAAAATTTTCTCCCATTCTGTAGGTTGTCTGTTCACTCTGATGATAGTTTCTTTTGCTGTGCAGAGGCTCTTTAGTTTAATTAGATCCTATTTTTTCTTTGGTTGAAATTGTTTTTCACGTTTTCATCATGAAATCTTTGCCCAAGTCTATGTCTTTAATGATATTGCCTGGATTTTCTTCTAGGGTTTTTACAGTTTCGGGTTTTACATTTAAGTATTTAATCCATCTTGAGTTAATTTTTGAATAAGGTGTAAGGAGGTGTCCAGTTTCAATTTTCTGCATATGACTAGCCAGTTTTTCCAGCACCATTTATTAAATAGGGAATCCTTACTCCGTTGCTTGTTTTTGTCAGATTTGTTGAAGATCAGATGTTTGTAGATATATGGTCTTATTTCTGAATTCTCTCTTCTGTTCCACTGGTCTATGTGGCTGTTTTTGTACAAGTACCATTTTTTTTTTATTACTGTAGCCTTCTAATATAGTTTAAAGTTGGGTAGAGTGATACCTCTAGCTTTGTTCTTTTTGCTCAGGATTGTCTTAGCTATATGTCCTTTTTTTGGTTCCATGTGAATTTTAAACTATTTTTTTCTAATTCTGTGAAGAATGTCAATAGTAGTTTAATGGGAATAGCATTGAATCTATAAATTACTTTGTACAGCATGGCCATTTTCATGATATTGATTCTTTGTATCCATGAGCATGGAATATTTTTGTATTTGTTTGTGACCTCTATGATTTCCCTGAGCAGTAATTTGCAGTTCTCCTTGAAAAGGTCCTTCACTTCCCTTGTTAGATGTTTTCCTAGGTATTTTAATATTTTGTAGCAATGAGATACTATCTCACACCAGTCAGAATGGTGATCATTAAAAAGTCAAGAAACAACAGAGGCTGGCAAGGTTGTGGAGAAACAGGAATGCTTTTACACTTTTGGTGGAAATGTAAATTAGTTTAACCATTGTGGAAGACAGTGTGTGGTGATTCCTCAAAGACCTAGAATCAGAAATACCATTTGATCCAGAAATCCCATTACTGGGTATATGCCCAAAGGAATATAAATCATTCTATTATAAAGATACATGCATACGTATGTTGACTGCCACACTATTCACAATAGCAAAGACGTAGTATCATGTCCATGATCATCAATGATAGACTGAATAAATAAAATGTGGTACATATACATTGTGGAATGCTATGCAGCCATAAAAAGGAACAAGATTACGTCCTTTGCAGGAACATGGATGGAGCTGGACTCTATTATCCTCAGCAAACTAACACAAGAACAGAAAACCAAATGTTGCATGTTCTCACTTATAAGTGGAAGCTGAACAATGAGAACACATGGACACAGGGAGAAAAAAAACACACACTGGGGCTTGTCAGGGGAGGGGCTGGGAGAAGGAGAAAATCAGGATACATAGCTAACACATGTAGGGCTTAATATCTAGGTGATGGGTTGACGGGTGCAGCAAACCACCATGGCACATGTTTACCTATGTAACAAACCTGCACGTCCTGCATATGTATCCCAGAACCTAAAATTAAGTTAAATTAAATTTAAAAAAAAAAGAAAAAGACGACAATGCTTGTGTCCTTTCCTTTAGGGCTGCATGTTTCCTTTATTACTCAGTAGGTCCAGAGATGCCATCTGGGAACCAGGGCCTAGAGTTGAAAACCTTGAGTCTACCTGGTGCTTTATTCTACTGTGGCTAAATTTACATCTAAGCCACTAAACTTTCAACTTTTCCCTTCCCTTTACACAGTCAGAGAAGTTACTCCTCATGGCCACCATCACTGCAGCTCCATGGTGAGTACTTCCTGGCTATTGCCAATATTCACTCAAGGCCCAAGGGCTCTCCGCTCAGTGTGTAGTGAATGCTGCAAGGTGTGAGACTCTCCAGTGCAGTGGATTCCCCTCTGGCCCAGGGCAGGTCTAGAAATGCAATCCAAGAGCCAAGCCCTAGAATCAGGGACTGTAAGAACCCACTCAGTGCTCTACTCCACTTGGGTTAAGCCGGTACCTAAGCTAATATCTGGTTCTTATGAAAGTGCTTATTTGGTGTTCCTGCCGGGAAGAAAATTAGTGGAGGCTTTTGTTCGACTGTCTTTCTCTGTCTCCATCTCAGGGGTGTCTTTTGGGGAGCAATAAAAGTACTCTCTTATTCCTTGTCACAGAAAAAAGAAAAAAAAGAAGTATTTGAGAACAGGAGAATATTCACAAAGAGCAGCATCAAGTCCTTCCTTATTTCTTCCATTAGAAAGGAGGTTTCAAGTCGAAATGTGGTTATTTTTTGCTGGTGCATTGGATCTGTTCCAGTCCACTGAGTGACACAGAGAGAGACACATTTTACAGTCCCTGTACTTTCTCTTACAATTCAGCCAGGTTTTATGTGGGGCAGAAAAGAACCAAGTTCATCTCAGGAAAATAATAAAGGAGGGGTGGCTATTATTCCTAACTGAATAAAACTAGAACCATGTAAAAAGGAAAAAGACCATTAGCTCAGTATGGGTTAACTGAATCACTGAAGAAAAATGTTTATCACTGAAGCTGTGCTTACTTCACATGAGAAATAACTCTCACTACTGGGAAGGCAGGCTAGAAAGTGGGTCACTTGCATTAGATCTAATTCTTGGAACTGTTTATTTTCTTTTGAGCCCAAGAAGATTGAGAAAATATTTTTATAATTGTGTGGCCCAAACCTAAAGAACTGCTTAAAGTAACAGGAAACAAGGAGGTTCCAAAAGGTGAAACGCCTTCCAATGGGGAAAGTTAGAAGTTTTATCAAGGAAAACTATGTGTTAAGAGTGATGACAGACTGTAAAAGGGGACGATTTGTGGGTGGGGTGATACCACAGGTCAAGATAGAGCTATCCACTAAGCATTCTGTCATCACCTGAGTGTAAGGCTGAAAATCTCCTTCTATTCTGCAACGTAGTGGAATGTCCATAATGTCAACTTCTTCAGATGTTATTCCTCATACACATTTGTGATTGCCTTGAGAGAGAGAGAGAGAGAGAGAGGCTTGATGTTTGTGATTGCTTTGACATAATAAAGAACTTATGTTTCTAATATATATTGAACTTAATCTGGAGCATAAAGTCTCTTACAAGTTGTTGGGACAAAAAGTGGAGATGGGTTAATAAAACTAATTTCCAAGAAATCTTTGTTGGAAAAATAAAAAACAAAAAAAATTTGGCTGTTTTTCATTAAATATAATTTGGCATATTCCAGTGTCATTTAAAATGAAAAAGAAATTGACCATCCGGGTGACTGCAGTAAAATTTCAGGCATTTCATATTTGTAAATACATTGATAGTCACTCTTCCACCCACTTCAAAATTAATAGTTGGTCCTTTGGGATAAAAAAAAGTGATTGATTCCTGCACAACCAGTTCATAATAACAATCATCCAGTTCTCAGGAGTCAGAAGGCAAACAGGAACCATACTGCTCTACTCACATAGTCTCCTTTCTCCTTCTATCACTAAATCCATTCACAGATGAATGCACTAAAAAGAAATAAGATCAATCTCCTTTTTCAATTAGCTATGACAAAATACCTCTTGCTTACACATGTAGAAAGTCAATACAGAAATGTCAAATTATTATAAGCATTTTACTTGTTATTGTTAACAAATATATATTTTAACACCATTATGTCTATTGATTTTTAAGACTAGCAGAATCCTATTAATTATTCAATTTTTTACATACTGTCTATTAAAACATCTGTGTATTTATACAGTTAGAAATATTTGAATTGTCGGTTAAATTTTATATAAAATTTAGGATGTCCAAAATAAGTTATGCTAAATAATATTACTCTATGATAAGTAATATTAAATATTAAATATAAAATAAAATATTACTCTATGATAAGTAAGACTTGACATCACTGTCAATGACAGAACAATTCTGATTAAGAACAACTACAAATAGGAAAAGGTAAGTCAGCCATATAAATACTCATAGAAAAGATTATATGTGTCTAGTCACTTTGATTTTCATTTTCCAGTTCTTCCTTCAAAGCCAATAACTCTCAGCTGCCTAAAAGTTTAATAAATCATGTTGATCATTTTAAAGAACTAGGTCACAGTTTTATTTGCTTTCTTTATTTATTTTACAGTTTTTGTTTTTCAGATTTTTCTCTAATTTATATATATACTGCAATGGTGTTCGTTTTTTTTCTGCCATTTAATTGTCTTTGTATTATTTTATTATTTACAAACATCTTAAATTCTTTCATTAATTCTATTAAATTGGCTTTATAATAATATACTTAAACCTATGCATTTTATTGAATAGAGCCTTGGTCATGTACTATGGTTTAACAACACGCAATGATTTAAACTTTATTAATGTCTAAACTATTTAAAACTTAATTTGGTATATCCTTTACAAAGTAAATAATGTTTAGATTATTAAAATGTTTTTAAACAATTATTTTCTTATAGTTATTTGTGCTGATTTACTGTTTTAAGGCATTGTTTTATAGTAAGTTATATACAAGTTTTATACTTTTACCATATGAAAACATTTCTCTGACTAGATAATGTATGCCAGTGTCTATAAATGTTTATATATTTTTATGATAACAGCTTTTAGATATCTTCATTTTTGTCTCACTCATCATTAGACCTGGGATAGACTTCGCAAAAACAAAACAAAACAAAACAAAACAAAACAAAACAAACAAAAAACAAAACCAAGAAACAAGAGACATTAATATTTCTTGAAAAAAATAACTATACTCTTCATTTTTCTATTTTTACTAATAACTGAACTTAGTGAACAGATATGAAAGAATGAATCAATAAACTAAATTATATCTTACAAATAGCTAATTAATGTTTGATAATAACATAGCAACGTATAAAGAAAACCTGCATACTTAACAAGACATCTACAAATAGGCAGTTTCTGATGCTGGGTTCAGCATCCCTATGTTCTCTTGGACTTATCAGTCATATGAGATTGCCAGAGATCTAGTTATTAATTTATTTTCTAAGTGTGAATGAGAAGGCTACCTGCCCCTTTTACTTATTAAGAAGGCTAAAACATTCTTAGCATGTTCACAGTAGAGATACACTTAGATTTCATTCATCAAAATCCGGCACATATTTTCTTCTTTCTTCAAATATTTCACCTTTTCATCCTAAAGTTTTCAAGGATGAGGAGAGTTAGAGTGGCAATTAATCTAGCCAATATCTGTGTGTTAGCATTATTTTAAACGTGTGCTGCCTTAGACCAAATTAAATTGATTTTCTGGCTATGTGTGTTTCTGTAGCTTATTATAACTTTCTAGAAACAAAGACAAAAAATGAGGAGAAATTGTGATTTCAGCACAATTGAATAAATTTTCATTTAACATCCACTATTGTACTATGCATTATAAATATATTTATTTCTGTGTCTGCAAAAATGTAGCTAAAACATGTCTTTTAGTTCAATTCTCTAAATGACTCCTTTTGTAAACCATTTCACACAAGGCATTCTCTGCCATAAGTGAGAATAAAGAAAGCTTCTTCATTCTATTTCCTCTTTATTTCTCCAAAGCATATTAAAGTTCATAATACAGTTATCTTGCTCGAATAGTAAGAAGTTTGTGATGTCAATGCAACATAAATGCTTATGTTTTCTAGCCTAATTTTGGCTAGAAAACTGCAAATGCAGTTAGCAGCTCTTCTCTTCTGCCTCACTGGTATTTAAAAATCTGGAAGAATATTCAATACTCTCCCCAACCCCCTGACTGCTTAATATAATATATTCATCAAACAAGTATATGCTTGGTTCAGCACAAAATGGAAAACTTAGATGAAAAGGGAGTATTAGGCAGTCTTTTTAACATATTTCTTTATCATAGGTACATACAAAGCTCTTCTTGATCCATAAGTTATCATCCTGGTGAGTTGCTATAAATATGCATGAAGGGACTGACCCCAGAGTAGCAGATTAATTACCTCTTGTATGATTTTGTGCATGTGTGTAAGAATAGTTTTATTTTATTCATTCAAGAAACATTGATTGAATTTTTTTTTTCTGTCTTAAGAAATAAGCTGTATTCTACGATGAATAAGACATTGGCACTATTCCTAGGGACTGAGGTTTAGATAACCAAGAGTTTGAAACCAAGAAACTAGTTTGAAAAAAATGATCCCTGTAGATCATTGGAGGCATTGTTTGAAAAGTACTAAAGATAATTACTCAGTAGTATAATAACTTGAATAAAGATTTGTAAAATCTGAAATGTGATATATTTACAGTTAATACAAGGAATCTCGTGTTTTAATTTAATTATTTTAATCCTTTTATTTTTCACATACTTGTGTGTGTGTGAAAATCATGGAGATTTAAATAATGTAGTTTCTTTGTTTTCTTTATTGTGTATATTTTAGAGTTTTCAGTAATGCAATTAAATTGCCAATTTTGTTTGTCAAAATCCTCTAATGTACTTTAAGCCATATGCTAGATTACCAGGCCCTCACCTTGTGTTATGTAGTCTATATGTGTCACTGTCAATAATAACTGCTGTTAGAGCTAAATTTGCAAAAGGTGAATTGGGTAAAAACACTGACTTGGAGTTACTTACTGTCATTTGTGCAACTCATTTTTTTAGGATAAGAAGAAAATCTATTTATAAAATACAAGATAGTTTTTCATTCTTAGTTTATTATGAAGGAAATAAAGGCTACACGAATGCTCAGAATCCTAAAAGATATTTGACAGACTGGAATTTCAAGATTTTTCTCAAAGGGTCACCAAATATTGATTTTTACATTATTTCACTTAGCTATATACAAAGGGCAAAGCATGTCTTCTGATTATTTCCACACATTCTGCTCCTAAAACCTGTAGACCCTATTCTTCAATTCAGGAAACCTTGGAAGAGACATGATTTCTTTCCAGCAGAAATAACTGTCCAAATAAAATGTGTTCAACTGGGGTGTTCACTTAAGTTAAAGACAGGTTTCCAGCTGATACAGATGATTGTTCTAGCTGATATGTTTGATTGCTCTTGTGTAGGCAATTACAAGACCACAAGGAGAAGCACAAAGAGTCTGACTTCCAATCACAACCTGACTGTGGGCATGCCCAAATCTGACAGACTTTGATGGAGGAAACCTTGAGTGAAAGATTTCAAAAATAAACCCTCAAAGAGAATAGTTATAGTGGTATTTAGAAACACACACACACACACACACACACACACACACACGCAGAGAGTGCAAGCAAAATAAACCTTCAGAGAAAATAGTTATAGTGGTATTTAGAAAGAGAGAAAGGATGAAAAGGGGGCCAGGCGCGGTGGCTCACGCCTGTAATCACAATATTTTGGGAGGCCAAGGCGGACGGATCACCTGAGGTCAGGAGTTCGAGACCAGCTAGGTCAACATGGGGAAACCCCATTTTTACTAAAAATAAAAAGCAATTAGCTGAGCGGGCACCTGTAGTCCCAGCTACTGGGGAGGCTGAGGCAAGAGAATCACTTGAACCTGGAAGGCGGGGGTTGCGGTGAGCCGAAATCGCTCCATTGCACTCCAGCCTGGGCAACAAGAGGGAAACTCCGTCTCAAAATAAAAATAAAAAATAAAAAAAAAAAGAAAGGGTGAAAGGTGGAGCGGGAGACAAGGAGCAAGGGACACTGACTTAAAAGAAGAAACATGGAATCAGATTTTGCATAGGGCCCTAGTTCCTTAGGGCAAGCTTATTTCTGCAAGGAAATTCCTGGACTCTCTCTCTTCACCTTCTCTCTCTTCTTGCCTTTCTACATCTAAGCTGTTAAAATGTAAGATAACCATGGTTTTCCCCAAATTTCATTTATCACAGTCCATTGAATTAATGAAAATTTGGTCTATTATGGAGAATTTGTTTTTATTTCTGTTGTTTGATTTTACTTTGAGGTTGATATTTCACAAGTACCAATCTGATAAACTATAAAGGATAGAGGTAATAGGCATCTTTCAGGATTTTATTTGTAATTTTGACTTCTGATCCATTTCTCCCAATATGTGTAGCTATTTATAGCATTTAGTAAGAGAGAAAATGCTGCCATACATTCTCTATTATTAATATTTTATAAGTAGTCTATGTTTTTGGAGTTTTAATACATGTTTTTTGTTGTTTTGCTTACATGTTTTCTCTATATCTTTTTCTTAAAGTCCTATAATAATTTCTACTGTTCAATAGACAATAATATTTCTTCTCTGGGATTTATTGAAGGAGAATGCCATTTCAAAATCTAGAAAAATGTGAAAGTTTAATGATAAAGAATCTTTCTTACTTACTTTAGGCCCATTATATAACTTATCTTATTTGAATAAAAATTCATTGCAATCATCAACACCACTTTGAAACTAGATGTTTTTTCAAAGAAAAACTAATTGTAAAGCTGTAGAAGGCAATTTTTATCAAATTGTGCTGTGTTTATTTTATGTTAGAAAAACTATTTGAGATAATTCTTTAAATTTCATTTATAATTTTCAATGGGTATGCTAGATGATAGTAGCCACAAATTGGAAATTAGAAGTAGAATGAAGAGAACTTCATATTTTCCAAAATAATCTTCCAATTAAAATCAAATATAAAAATATAATACGAAGTAAATTTGGAGGTTTTACAAATGACTGAAACTATAATTTCAACTGAAACCATCAAAGCCATGAAGTAAAGTGTTCTCACAAATAAAATTAAAAGACAGCACCTTCAGTGTTTTCTGAAGGTACATTTTATCTGAGCATACATGAAACCACCAAAGTGAGAGGGACTCACATGTGTAACCTTAAATTAGTTGGCCACGCCACTTTTTGGATTATCACTCATCATGAACTGACATTTTTCATAGTTTGCAACTGATGAAAATCCAGAATTGACCTCAATATGTTGGTTTGTAGAAACCACACACCATGAAAATACCAGCTGGTGCTGATCTGAACCAACAAAATGAAATAGGAATAAATGCTTTTATTTCAGTTTTAATTGGATTCTTTGCTCACGGGTGGAAGAAACAGTTGCAAAGTTTTCAACAAAAGCTAGATAGAGAATTAAGTAGACAGAAAGATGATATTTTGAGGGAAATCACACTCCAAAAAGTGCCCTCTTCAGTAGTCCCCATGCAGAGGACACTTGCTCGATAGTACTTCTGCTTGAAAACTTGAGGTGCTTTTTCAAGTTAAGGATTTTATAATAGAAAAGCTCAGAATTAACAGCACTAATTTAATGAAAGCATAGAAAAAATGGTTACCCTATTATTATAACCTTATAAAATTTATCCCTTATTATTTAAATAGAATCAATACATGTCTCAGAAACAAAAAATTCCTTAAAGACATCTTGCTTTAACATCTTCCTATAACTTATTTTACTACTTAGGAAACACAGACTGAAAAAAATTACTGTGCAATATATACTCAATGTAACTATTATTGGTGGCATGACTGAGACCAATATCCACATGCCATAAACTCTCAACCAAGACTTTTGTATGGCAACATGTTGCTGCTCTCTAGGAAAATGCCAATATAATTTTTATAGGGAATTAGCAAAAGAGCAGGGTTTCTTTATATACAATTAACAATAGAGCGGCATTATCCATTAAATCCAAGAGAAGAAATATTATTATCTATTGAACAGTAGAAGTTATTATACGACTTTAAGAAAAAGATATAGAGAAAACATGTAAGCACAACAACAAAAAACATAAATTAAAACTCAAAAAACATAGACTACTTATAAAATATGATTACATTTTAAACAGAGGAATATTTATATATATTCATCTACTTACCACTGTAAAATTGAATCACTGAAATATTTGATTGTTGTAAGCATGTGCATTTCTATGTATTAACGAATGTGTTAAGTAATGATGTCATTTCTATGTTTATCCACAGAACATTTTGATTTTGATTGATAGATTTTAGTGCCACATTAATACCATCATGCCTGATTAAAAGTTTTAGCCTATTTTTCATCCTTATAACTATAAATACCTCGACATGTATTCTTTAATCTTTGACCTTGAAATTTTTGGTAAGACAGTAATTTATAGAATCATTTTGAATATTAAAATATATTCTTTGCATTATTTAGGCAACATATTATTTTCATTTAAAGCTATTTAAAATTTCAACAACTCATATATCTACACATGGCTCCCCATTGCATAAAAGTTACAACAGTCTCCCAAGGAATTTAGATATGTGGTAGTAAAACATGACTTGTCATATTGCCATCATATTATAGACTAAAGGGAAAAGGTTTCTGACAATTTTATATGAAAAAATAGTGTGATATTCAATAAGGAAAAATCCTTTTAGATGTTTTTAATGTAGAAAAATATCTTTGTATGTATTTTTATCAAGTTTTATGAAAAGAATGAGTGTGAAGATTGAATAAAATATTTCCAAACAAACAAAATCACTTTGTCATTTTTAAAATGAAGTATGTGTTCACTTATTTGAAATTTTCCTGATAATTTTTTTATGGTGTTGTCCAGTTCACAGAAAGGCATAAAACTTTCATAAAGTTGTGAGGTAGGCAATTTTTTTTTTTTTTTTGAGACTGAGCACTGGAGTGCAGTGGGACGCTCTCAGCGCACTGCAACCTCCACCTCCCAGGTTCAAGACATTCTCCTGCCTCAGCCTCCCGAGTAGCTGAGACTACAGGTGTGTGCAACTGCGCCCAGCTAGTTTTTGTGGTTTTAGTAGAGATGGGGTTTCACCATGTTGGCCAGGCTAGTCGTGATTTGAACTCCTGACCTCAAGGGATCCATCTGCCTTGGCCTCCCAAAGTGCTGGTATTACAATTGTAAGCCATCATGCCCGACCAACAAATTTTTCTACAGAGGCTCTCATGATTACTGCTTTGGTGGGGGGGCCAGGGGGAGGGCGAAAAAGCCACTTGTTGGTCAACTAAAGAGCCATCTCAACCAACACCACTTAATAGATCATTCCAATTCATTGACCTTTCTGTTTCTTTATGAACATTAGAGTGGCTTTTTAAAATTGGGATGTTGATTAACAAAACAAACAAAACATAAACATCAAACAAATAACAGGACCTGGGAATGAATTTAAGCGTTATGCCTGATAAATTTGAATTTGAGTAGCTTCTCCCTAAACTAATTCTGAAATGTTAGGTTAGCCACATCACCTTTGAGAACTCGATTTCCTCTTCTTTGAAATAGGGATAAATATCACAGCCAGTTAATATCGTGATAAGTGATGTGGATTATACTGAATACATATAAACAACAATTGTATCTATCTAGGTAGTACTGGATACAGGATTAATATCATCCCCAAGTCCATAATCTTTCCATTATATATGATGAATGGCACACACGGCACATTTGTTAATTTCACTGCAACCAGGAGACACAATACTAATGTCACAACGGTCTTTTCTGATGAGCTTTAATACAATGCTAGAATCCCATTTCTGTAACTGGATTAGCAACAACAATAAAAAAAACCTAGTTAATAACTACACTATGCGATGCCAAATTCTTCCAAAGTTTCCTCATCTCTTCCTAAATAAAATATAATTGTTTAAATGAAAGAAATGTTGAAGCCAATATCATCTTTCATTAATCTTTACATCAGTCCAAACTCTTCCTAAACTAATTTCTGATTCCATATTTGTTAAATCTCATGATTTATGTGTTATTTGTTGGTCGGAACTCTTTTGGTTGAGGTATCAGAATCTATTTCTAACAGGAGAAAAAGAATGAATGTATTTGCTTATGACATACTTATAGAGTATGTGAAGGAGAGGCGGCTTCATGCAGTGCTGATTTCAGGATATAAAACAATGCCATTAGAATTTTGTACCTCTCTTACCACCTTCCACTTTTTTCCCTCTGGGTGTTCTCCTTCTGATGAGTATTCTCCCTTGGCAGCTAAAATGTTCCCAGAAAACTATAGGCTTTTATAATCTGTGGGAAGCAGAGGTAGGAGGATCACTTGAGGCCAGGAGTTCGAGTCCAGCATGGTCAATGTAATGAGACCTTGTTTCTTTAAGAAAAAAAATATATGTATATATTGCTGGGTGTAATGGCACAAATCTGTAATTCCAGCTACTCAGGAGGCTGAGGCGGGAGGATCTTTTGAGCCCAACAGTTTGAGGTTACACTGAGCAATAATAGCACCACTGCACTCAACCCTGGATTACAGAGCTAGAACCCATTTCTAAAAATAAAAATTAAAATATGAATTATAAGAAAACCCAATTTACAAAATATAATCTTTGAGACACAAGGTCTCAGAAATTTGTAGATTCTCAATTTCCATTTCAACAGTTTATTTTACCAGCTTATCTGTGACTATTTTCCTTTACGAAATTTGCGAATGTTCAGTGTGAAATTGTCTTGCTCGCATATTATGTACCATTTCCTGCACCACTGAAGGGATTTGGACTGTAATGTACTCAAACTCAATATTTAAAGTATTTGAGTTTATAAGTACACAAGTTTAAATTTTGCATATCATAAATAGCCTTGTAAAAATATATAAATATATTTACATGTATGTATGTCATTAATAATATCAGATGGAATTTAACAATCTTTAAAAGTTTCTTGTGCATATGAAATAATAGTTCACAAATTGGGAGACCTCAAACTGAAAGTGCCAAGGAGTCCAGCTCACAGCAGTTACAGCATAGTTTATGATGCATAAAGAATCTAATTTGTGATTGGCTGATATACGTTAACACTCTATTTAGGGCAAGTGGAGCTGTTTAAGCTGATTCATCTATAGCTGATTGATTTAATATCATCAAATGACACTGATAAGAATTTAAAGCTTATATTTTGTGTATTTTTTTTGTAATTGGAACTAACGTTTTGGGCAAATCGGAATGACTTAAGTTTTGATTATGCAGCTATAAACAGTTGACCTTGAGGTATATCTAAATTGTAGCCACCATTTTTATTTTTCTTTACATATGCTTATGTATTAATGTATATACACATGCATATATATATATACATATATACAGACACACACACAAATATAGGCACACACATGTGAATGTTCAAATTACATTCCTGCTTATCTGAAAAGGTTGAAAACAGAGAAAAGTAAGTACCATTTTCTTAGCTTTTACCTCTTGAAATTTGTAAAGCCTCATAAATAACAGTCTTATTTTTTCCTCCAAAGTTCAGAACCAAGTTAGAGATAGACAAAGACTCAGGAAAATGGAAACAAAACCACTCTTTCCATTACTGATGAAGTGGTGTATACTATGACTTCAGTTTATAGGCAAAGAAGCCAAAGTTAGAGGCACTTATTAATAATTCCCTGGCCAAAGGCAGCATCATCCCTTACCAGCAGGAACAAAATCTGTCCTGGTCGTGTTGGTGCAAGACTAAGATTGAAGAAGAGAACATGTCCTAGCTGCCATCAAATGCAATTTATGGCCAGTTTCTTCACCCAAACTCACCAGTCAGGTAAATCATTCTTCCTTGTCCAGAAAGGAATAAAGAGAAGTCAGGAATATCACTATTATGAAGGTCCTACATAACATTAATATGATGCCAATGGAAGGTAGGTTCCATCTCAAGCTCACCACTTGTAAAGCAAAAAGCATTTAACATCTGAAATTGAAGTTAGTTGTCACCTAGTTCAAAACTCTCATTATGTAGCTTAGAAATCTGAAGTCCTGAGTTCAGAGATGATGTTTAAACTGGCAAAGAGAATAAGGGGTTTGAACTAAGAGTTGACTTTTTACTCACTTAGCCATTTATTTATTTAGCAAATACTTACTGTACACTGTGAAATCAAATTCAACCCCAAGGATACAATATTGGATATATATTATATATATAGGGTGTATATATAATATACATATTATATATATGGGGTGCATACATAATATATATATTATATATATGGGGTGCATATATAATATAAATATTATATAGGTTATATGTAATATATATTATATATAGGTTACATATATAAAATATAATATACAATATATTATATATTATATATAAACTATATATGTGATATATATTATATATAGGTGTATATTATATTATATACATATATGTATATTACATATGCATATATGTATATTATAAATGTATATTATATGTGTATATATGTGTATATATGTGTATATGATATATGCATAATACATATATAAATATATGTAATATACATATATAATATATAGGTGTATATTATATGTGTATATTATATATAGGTGTATATTATATATATATTATATAATATATAGGTTTATGTATATTATATATAGGTGTGTATATATATTATATAATATATATACATGTATATATTAAATATTATATAGGAGTATATTATATAAGTGTAACCTATAAACCTATATATAGCTTTATATTATATAGGTGTAAACTATATATTATGTATAGGTTATATATACGAAATATATAGGTTATATATATAAAATATATAATATATAACTTATATATGTAATATATATTATACAGGTTATATAAAATATTATATATAATAAATTAAATAATGTATTATATATTATTATATACTAATAACTAATTACATATAATATATACAATATTATATATAATATATTATATAATATATTATATATAATATATTATATAATATATTATATATAATATATAACCTATATATAATATATTATATATATAACCTATATAATATATTATATATAAAATCTGTATAGGTTACATGTATAATATATTATATATAAAGGGGATGTATACACACACAAATGTGCATATATGTATATACATGTATGTGTATGTGTATATATTATATATCTTATATAATATATAGGTTATATATAATATACCATATATTATATATGATATATCATATATTATATATACCATATATCATATATATGATATATCATATATATTATATAATAATTATATATTATATTATATATTATATATCATAAATAATTATTAAATATTGTAATATATTATGTATTATATACTATATGATTATACATTATATAATACATGATAATATATATAATATATATCATATATTTAATATGTGATCATATATATAATGTACATCATATATATAATACATGATCATATATATAATATATATCATATATTATATATATGATATATGATCATACATTATAATATATGATTACATATTATAATATGTGATCATATATTATATAATTATATATAATATACCATATATTATAATATATGCTTATATGTTATATCTAATAATCATGTATTACAATATATGATCATATATTACAATATATGATCATATATTATATAATATATATGATTATTATAATATAATATAATATAATTATATATTATAATATATGGTATATTATATATAATTATATATTATATATAATATATAATTATATATAATATATTATGTATTATATAATTATATATTATATATAATATATAATTATATATAATATATTATGTATTATATATTATATATTATATAAAATATATAATTATATATAATATATTATGTATTATATAATTATATATTATATATAATATATAATTATGTATTATATAATTATATATTATATATAATATATAATTATATATAATATATTATGTATTATATAATTATATATTATATATTATATATAATTATATATAATATATTATGTATTATATAATTATATATTATATATAATATATCATATGTTATATATAATTATATAATATATAACATATTATATAATATTATATATTATATAATATGTTCTATATTATCTTTATATATTATCTGTTATATATTATATATTATATATTATATGTTATATTTTATATATTCTATATAATATCTATGATATATTATATATAAACTATGTATAATAGTTATACATAGTTATATTATGTATAAACTATGTATAATATATATAATATATGTACATACACATACAGGTATATACATATATGCACAAGTGTGTATATATATATCCCCTTTCTATATAATAGATTATATGATATATTATATAATATATGATATAATATAATATATGTATGATATAATCTATTATATATGATATAATATAATATATATGATATAATATATTATATGTGATATAATATAATATATTATATATGATATGATATATAGTATATGATATGATATATTACATATATATAATTATATATGACATATATATAATTATATATGATATATTATATATGTCATATATAATTATATATTATATATACATATATATATAATTATATATGATATATATAATATATTATATATGACATATGTAACATATTATATATAACATATATAATATATTATATATGATATCTAATATATTATATATGATATATATAATATATTATATATGATACATTATATATAGTACATATGATATATATTATATATGCCATAGTATATATAATGGTATATATAATATATATGATGTATATGACAGTATATATCATATATATTATATACTATACTACATATAATATATATTATATATACTATAGTATATATAATATATATTATATATAATAAAAAATATATTATAGATTATATAATATAAAATATATGTAATATTATATTATGTATAATATAATATATATAATTAATATAATATAATATTATATATATTATAATATATATAATATTATATTATATATATTATAATGTATATAATATAATATTATATATATTATATATAATATTATATATGTTATATTATATATACATATACATAATATATAATATATAATATATATTATATATTATGTATAATATATAATATATATATTATGTATAATGTATAATATATATATTATGTATATTATATAATACATATTATGTATATTATATAATACATATTATGTATATTATATAATATATATTATGTATATTATATAATATATATTATGTATAATATATAATATATATTATGTATAATATATAATATATGTTATGTATAATATATAATATATATTATGTATAATATATAATATATATTATGTATAATATATAATATATGTTATGTATAATATATAATATATGTTATGTATAATATATAATATATGTTATGTATAATATATAATATATGTTATGTATAATATATAATATATGTTATGTATAATATATAATATATGTTATGTATATTATATCATGTATAATACATGTTATGTATATCATGTATTATACATGTTATGTATATCATGTATAATACATGTTATGTATATCATGTATAATACATGTTATGTATATCATGTAAAATACATGTTATGTATATAATGTATAATACATGTTATGTATATAATGTATAATATGTTATGTATATCATGTATAATATATGTTATGTATAATATATATTATGTATATTATGTATAATATATATTATGTATAATATGTATACTATATATTATGTATAATATATATTATGTACAATATATATTATGTATAATATATATTATGTACAATATATATTATGTATAATATATATTATGTATAATATATATAATACATATTATGTATAATATATATAATACATATTATGTATAATATGTATTATGTATAATATATATTATGTATAATATATATTATGTACATTATGTATAATATATATTATATATAATATGTGTAATATGTATTATATATATTATGTGTAATATGTATTATATATATTATGTGTAATATGTATTATATATATTCTTTATAATATATTATATATTATGTATAATATATATAATATATATTATGTATAATATATATAATATTTGTTATGTATAATATATATTATATATGTTATGTATAATATATATTATATGTATTATGTATGATATATATTATATGTATTATGTATGATATATATTATATATATTCTCTATAATATATATTATATATTCTGTATAATATATATTACATATATTATGTATAATATATAATACATATATACATTATATATAAAATATATTATACAGAATATATATAATAGATATATTATATATAATATATATATAGTATATATAATATATTATATATATTATATATAATATATGTAATATATATATTATTTATATAATATATGTAATATATATATTATTTATATAATATATGTAATATATATATTATTTATATAATATGTATAATATATATGTTATTCATCTAATATGTATAACATATATATTATTTATATAATATGTATAATATATATATTATTTATATAATATGTATAAGATATATATTATTTATATAATATGTATAAGATATATAGTATATATTATATGTATATAAGATATATATAATATACTATATATGTTATATATTATATATAACATATATAATATATATATAATATATATATTATATATAACATATATAATATATAATATACATATTATATATATATTATATAATATATATTATATATATATTATATAATATATATAATATATATATTATATATATATTATATAATATATATAATATATATATTATATATATTATATATGTTATATATAAAATACATATATTATATATATTATATAATATATAAAACATATATATTTTATATATTATATAATATATATAATATATATTATATAATATATTATATATAATATATATAATATATGATATATTATATAATATATTATATATAAATATTATATAATTACATATAATATATATAAATATTATATATTATATAATTATGTATAATATATAATATATATATTATATAAAGTGATGTTTATTAGGTATTAACTTACAATATCAGAAGTTCCCGCAATAGGCGGTCTGCAAGCTTGAGGAGCAAGGAGAGCCAGCCTGAGTCTCAAAACCAAAGAACTTGGAGTCCGATGTTTGAGGGCAGAAAGCATCCAGCACAGGAGAAAGATGTAGGTTGAGAAGCGAGTCCAGGCTTTCTCTTATTCATGTTTTTCTGCCTGCTTTATATTCACTGGCAACTGAGTAGATTGTGCCCAGCAGATTAAATGTGGATCTGTCTTCCCCAGCCCATTGACTCAAATGTTAATCTCTTTTGGCAAGCCCTCACAGACACACCAAGGATCAAGTTGGCACTCAGTATTACCCATCACAAATACTGTAAAGTACATAGACAATTAAAATATTTACTTGAAATACTATGATCAATAAAGTTCATTGTAGTTAGAAAACATAAAGCTAGGTTTAGGGGAGACTCCTGAAACACCTTTTCTGTAGGTGAAATAGTGTGTGGATGGCATTTGGGGTTGTTGACAGTGGAAAGAGAACAGGACACATTGGAAGACTGGAAAGAAGTTCAATTGTCTGTAGTAGCAAGAGAGAAGAAAGAGATAATTTCTGACAAGAAATTGGAGAAGTAAAAACAAAAAATACCATTTCTTATCTCTTGAGCCTGTGGAATGATCTCTCTGGGAAATCTTCATTGAAAAATACAAAACAAAAATATAAAACAGGACAAGAAAAGCAATCTCTGAATCCCAAAAGTTCATAGGTAGCCAGAAGCAGAAAATAATTGCGAAAGGAAAGACATTCACAGGGGATGGTGACATGGTTTGTATCCATTGAAATAGTGGTTAATGACAATAGCAGAAGGAAAGACTAAGTGAGTAAAAGAAAGAGGGAGATAAATAAAAAGATATATTAATGTGTTTTTTTTTTTGTTTTTTTTTGTTTTTTTTTTTTTGAGACGGAGTCTCGCTGTGTTGCCCAGGCTGGAGTGCAGTGGGGTAATCTCAGCTCACTGCAAGCTTCGCCTCCGGGGATCAGGCCAGTCTCCTGCCTCAGCCTCTGGAGTAGCTGGGACTACAGGCGCCTGCAACCATGCCCTACTAATTTTTTGTATTTTTAGTAGAAATGAGGTTTCACCATGTTAGCCAGGTCGGTCTTGATCTGCTGACCTCCTGATCTGCCGGCCTCGACCTCCCAAAGTGCTGGGATTACAGGCGTGAGCCACCGCGCCAGGCCTAATGTGTTTTTATACACTCATATGTTATCACATAAATGGCACTAGTAGTTTTAAACAAAATTTCTGACATTAATATTTCCTGGCGATATCTATTTTCTGCATTGCTCTTACAATAAATTCCAGTATATCCTTTCTTGGGAGAAGCAATCATTTTTTTTCATTTGAAGTCAGTCTTTCAATATTTCTATTGTTTAATAATCAAGAGGGCGGACCTAGACTCACTTTGATTAATTGACTTTAACAACACAATAATTATGTTGTCTAACTTGAAATTTTATTCCATCATTCAGCTAGGTATTGTGGTTCACATTTCTGAAATAAAATTTGAAGTTCCGATGAGGTTAGATGAAGGACGGTGAGAATTAGATGTGTTTCCCTTTTCTCCATTTGAATCTGATTAATGATAACTAAAGCCAATTTCTACAGGTTGCAATGTGGCAGGTGATTCCTGGCATGGGACACAGGGCAGGGTCCTTTATGACCTGAGCACAGGGCCACTTCTGGCCTCATCTTTTATATTTACAAATAAAGTGCGATACAATGTCTGAATTAACAAGAGCATCTCAGGCCTTATGACTATTATTCATTATTTTCATTATTCATTATTCCTGCTTCTCCCACCTCCCTCTGCCTCAGTTCAGAGATATTACCTTAAAATAACTTTTACCCTCTCTAGGCATAGTTTGCTATTCATTCCTTTACATATATATATATATATATATATATATATATATATATTTTATTATACTTTATATATATATATATTTTATTATACTTTAAGTTCTACGGTACATATGCACAATGTGCAGGTTTGTTACATATGCATACATGTGCCATGTTGGTGTGCTGCCCCCATTAACTCATCATTTACATTAGGTATATCTCCTAATTCTATCCCTCCCCCCTCCCCCCAACCCCCAACAGGCCCCAGTGTGTGATGTTCCCCTTCCTGTGTCCAAGTGTTCTCAATGTTCAATTCCCACCTATGAGTGAGAACATGCGGTGTTTGGTTTTTTGTCTTTGCGCTAGTTTGCTGAGAATGATGGTTTCCAGCTTCAACCATGTCCCTACAAAGGACATGAACTCATCATTTTTTATGGCTGCATAGTATTCCATGGTGTATATGTGCCAGATTTTCTTAATCCAGTCTATCATTGTTGGACATTTGGGTTGGTTCCAAGCCTTTGCTATTGTGGGTAGTCCCGCAATAAACATACGTGTGCGTGTGTCTTTATAGCAGCTTGACTTATATTCTTTTGGGTATATACCCAGTAATGGAAGGACACAGCAAATAAATTTCTTTATCACACTAAACACTCATACCATTTGGTTACTTAAAAAAAAAAATAAACTGGGCCCGGCCCGGTGGCTCACGCCTGTAATCCCAGCACGTTGGGAGGCCGAGGTGGGTGGATCACGAGGTCAGGAGATCAAGACCATCCTGGCTAACACTGTGAAACCCCGTCTCTACTAGAAATACAAAAAATTAGCTGTGGCGGGTGCCTGTAGTCCCAGCTACTCGGGAGGCTGAGGCACGAGAATGGCATGAACCCAGGAGGCGGAGCTTGCAGTGAAGAGAGATCACGACACTGCACTCCAGCCTGGGCGACAGAGCGAGACTCCGTCTCAAAAAAATAAAATAAAATAAAATAAAATAAAATAAAATAAAATAAAATTTAAATTTAAAAAACCCCACATGAACAAGCTAATAAAGCATACTGAGTTTGATGAAATACATTTCTTTTCTTTCTCTTTTTTTTTTTTTTGAGATGGAGTCTCTTTCTGTCACCCAGGCTGCAGTGCAATGGCATGATCTTGGCTCACTGCAACCTCCACCTCCCAGGTTCAAGCGATTCTCCTGCCTCATCCTCCCGAGTAGCTGGGACTACAGGCACGCGCCACCACACCTGGCTAATTTTTTTAATTTTTAGTAGAGCTGGGGTTTCACCATGCAGGCCAGGCTGGTCTCAAACTCCTGACCTCAGGTGATCCGCCCTTCTTGGCCTCCCAAAGTGCTGGGATTACAGGCATAAGCCATGGCGCCCAGTGGTCAAATACATTTATATTTTTAGCGTCCAACTTGTAGAGTGCATATCATATAGTAAGGGTCTGATTCCTGTAGATTGCATAAATAAATGAAAGAATGAATGGTGAATAAAACCAAATAAACATGTAGTGAGAGTTATCACATTGCAAGCTGGGAATATGTGAGGTGATGATCACAAATTGGAATTTCTTTGTATATGCACGTGTAGCATTACAGCTCTGGAGATCTGCAGTTCACAGAAAGCTAACTTGAATGTAATGAGAGTGAAAGGGGTCAATTATTTTGAGGTTAAAACATCTTCATGGATATTATAATCACATTTGATGATAGCAGGAATCGTAAAGTTAAGGAAGACTGTGAGACAGATTTTATTTTTCTTTGGTTAATTGTACAGAATGGAAAGAAAATTTTAAGAAAATTTTGTCATGGGTTTTACCCTGATCAAAATTAATAAAATATACTTTTAGGTTTCCTCAGTTAACCAAGTGTCTTCTTTCAAAGAATACGACCCCAAGTAGATGTTTATCTTTCATGCAGAATGCAAACTCTTACAGGTGGCTCATCAATACACAGGTCCAGCAATTCCTTTATGGAGCTTACACAGAAACACAGCATAGCTTAAGATCCAACTGACATTTTGGAACCCTTCTAGGGATTTCAAATCTGACGTTCTGGATCCATTTTTCTTAGTACTATAAAAATCACTCGAGTCTACCAGTGGGCAGATTAAGCTAAAATACTAAACATTTTCTTGTATGTTTTGCTGTAAATATGCTTCCTTGTGTTTTTGTCTGAAAAGAATATATATTTAAGGAGGCAGGGTTAGTATAAAACCATAATTTATAAACTAGTCTAACTGAAACTTATATCACAGGTATTACTTATATCTCAGTTAACACAGGTTTTTCTGCCTCTGCCTCAAAGGTAGTGTTATTTAGGTGTTCTACCAAAAATCCCTGCAAGTCTTTAGTGATTACTAAATCAGAATAAAAGAATAAATGCTTTAAAAGAATATATGAACAAGGTTTTTCACATCATGAAAATTATACAGCTCTATTCTAAAAAGTCTTGAAAATGCAGGAATTGTTGTCACCTTGAAAGATGATTTTAATATTCCTGAAGCTATTCTCTTTTGGGATATCTGGATTGGGGTTTACCTCATTTGTTTTTCTTCTCTCGTGAATCACAGTTTTGTGCTGCCTACTATCTAATGTCCGCAAAAACTTGTTTCATATCATGTATCCAATCATAGAGTTGTCCACAGTGTGAAGACTAGCACAGTACTAGCTATTCGATCATAGCTAGCATTAGAAGTTTCATATTTCACATTTTATCCTTTGTCAGGAATATCTTTAATCCCTCCTCGCTTTTTGAATTTCACTTATTGTCTTTTCATGCAATGTAAACTAGTGTAGACTCCTGAGTAAAAGCTTTGAGTTTTGTACATACACCATATTCTCTATTGTTTACATACCTTCTCTTCATTTAATATGCAACACAAGTACCTTTTCACTCAGAAACCATTAGACGCGCGCACACACACACACACACACACACCCTGTCATCGTCACCACAACATCAACTTTATGAGAGTTCCTTTTGTTTTTTTTTTTGAGACAGAGTCTTGCTCTGTCGCCCAGGCTGTAGTGCAGTGGTGCGATCTAGGCTCATTGCAACCTCCGCCTCCCAGGTTCAAGCAATTCTCCTGCCTCAGCCTCCTGAGTAGCTGGGATTACAGGCACCCGCAACCATGCCCAGCTAATTTTTTGTAGTTTTAGTAGAGACGGGGTTTCATCATGTTGGTCAGGCTGGTCTCGACCCCCTGACCTCGTGATCCACCTGCCTCAGCCTCCCAAAGTGCTGGGATTACAGGCGTGAGCCACCGCGCCCGGCAGAGAATTCCTTTTAACTAAGGTTTTTATACCTCATGATGTGTTTTGTTATTTTACTTCTTTTGCTCTACCACTGGTCTTTGAACTGTTTTGGGGAAGAAATTGTGTCTTGCTAATGCTTCAACTTCTAGGATAGTGATCAAAACAAAATAGAAAAAGCAAAACAGAAACAAAATATATTTGGTCAATAAATAATCTTTATTAATTTAACACACCTCTTTCTCTCTATTTTATTCCTTGTATTTATTACTGCCCATTCTATCTACTCCTATTTCAAGTCATATTTCCCAAAGGTTTTGAATTGTATTTAATAATTCTCTGCCATTCATTTTTCAATTATTCCAATAATTATTAACTGCTTTCCTCTTTTCTTCCTCTTCAGTCCTAATATTAATATGTACTACATATGACCCAAGTTCATATTTTTGAATGATGCATTCCTTTTATCCCCATTGTCCTTTATTCATTAAATCATCTAGGCCATCTTGTACTGTGGCCTTAGGAAAAATACTCAAGAGAATAGAGCATAGAAAATTGGAGTCTATTTCTGAATTTATATTTTTAAGAGCCTAGTTCCCTAAAGAAATATAGAGAAATAATGGCAGAGACAAAATATTTATCAGGATACAGAAAGAGCGAAAGTATTACTTTCCCCACACCTTCCAAGACTGGAATAGTCTCCTTCATACTTGAGAGAGTGAAGACATCAGTTGGGAAAGTAGCATCTGCAGACACGTCTTACAGGATGGAGGAATTTGGGAGATAAAGATACTTTTTCATGATGGTCCAGGTGGAGCCAGGTGGTGACGGATAGCAACACTCTAGCACAGAATTGCCTGCAAAGTGTGTATCTGCAGACTAAGCCTTAAACAGCATTTTCTTTTTTTTCAGCATAGCATAGTAGGCAAAATGATACAAATATGTATAGTTGAGAAAGGAGGTGGTCAGAATAGTCACCAAATGTGAAATAGCGAAGATGATGGGAAAGTTGAACATCTCCACAGCATTTGTGTGGACCAAAGACTAGAGAAAATAATGGATATTTTGGTGAAAATATTATAGTGTAACTATGGAACTTACAGGACAAGATTTGCTACTGTCCTCCTATTGATCCCATGGCATGATCCACAGACCTAGAATTAAGCCTAAGAGACAAGTGACTTCAAATTAAGATTTTTTTTCCATCATGTCAGCTATCATGTTATTTTTTATCACATCGTTTTTTGCAACTTAACACATGAAAGATTACATATTGTTTCATTTCAGCATAAACAGATAAAACTATATATTTTAAACAAGGTAAAGGAGGCTCTTGAGAGTGGTATGGCTGTTAGTCTGTCTTTAAATCTGTAATGTTGGGCATCACTGCATATGTCACAGTCATCATGATTCCTAAATATTGCTTAGTTCGTTCCGTATTTTCTCATCATGAGATGCAGGCTTTTAGGAGGACTGGAAAGAAAGGTTTAATTCTGGGAAAATAAGAGAGAAGCTGTTAAAAAATTCACTCAGTAAAATAGTTAAGAGTAAGTTCATAAAAGATCGCAGGTTTTATAAGAACAAGCCTGTCCTACTATGTGATTATTAGGATATTATCATTTTGTTCTAATCAAACTAGCCCACATATACTTGCTATATACAACTACTGAGTTGCAAATGTCTCTAAACATTAGCAAAATTGCAGATGACAGCAAAGTATTATCAGGACCAATATTGTGTTTACATCGTTACCCTCTTATGTCTAAAGAAAGGTAACACTTTTTATTCAGTTAATTTTGTGTCTAACAGGTAGTCTTACATGCATTCTTAAATCAGTTTAAATTGTTCCCTAGACCACTTTCGTTGCTAATTTTCATCAAACCAAGATGCCATTACAGCAATTGCCACCATCCTGTTGACTCAGTGGGCAGCCATACCCGCTGCTCTTGCATTTACTAGAATTAGGTTCTGCTACTGCGTGTTGCTGCTTCTTTACCCCGAAGCTCTACTTTTGAGGCTACTCACAAGAACAAGCATTTATGAAGGGTTGATATGTGCAGCAGACCACCATGGCACATGTATACCTGTGTAACAAACCTGTACGTTCTGCACATGTATCCCAGAACTTAAAGTAAAAAAAAAAAAAAAATTATAATAAAGAGGTTCTTAGTCTATCATCGTAATTTTGTCCCTGTCATCTCATCCTTCAACCCCCAGCGCCTGTCGCACATGCCTCTATATGTCTGAAAACCACTTATCGAATAGATTTAAATTATTTTTGGTGGAGGCTCTTTGGCCACTATGTACTTCAACTGATACAAATATATATGGAAGTGTGAAAAGAAAACAACAATCAACATAGGTTAATTCTGAATCCCAGTTCCAGCCGCACTGTGTAATTTAACTGTCTTGTTTTACCTCACAAAAATATTGATAACAACTAAGATTATAATCCACTTTAATTTCCATGTACTTTACCTCTATTAAAAACTATCCAAACAATATATTGGAAAAATTGATAGGAAGTGAAATTTTACATTTTAAGAACATAGAGAATGAGAATTTATACATACCAAGAATTTAACATTAAGGAGATGTAAAATTAGTTAATCTCTCCATCACTAAGATATTCACTAACGTAAGCAATCAACAAATTTGGAATTTGTATTTGTTTGAAACCACCTTCAAGAAAAATTTCTAGAGTGTAATTCCATCTTACTATTAATTAACAGAAAAATGGCATCTACTGCAATAAAATGTGTTCAGGGACAATGTACACTGATTTATGATGTATAAAATATATGTGTATATATGAAATGTGTGTGTATGTGTGTGTTAATATTATCAAAAATGAACTGATACATTTTAGATGTGTTGGCACATGATCTGGTATTCGGTTAACATTTTTTCCAAGTTAACCTAGATTAACAAGAAACAAATATATCTGAATTTCTTTACAAATGCTCCAAGATTCATGCATCCTCTTTCTTTGGCCCTTTCTGGATGTTGGAGGCTTATAATGTATTCTCTGAGTTAGTCCTTCTGTACTTTTTCTTCCCCCAGCTTTTCTTAACCTTGGCTCTTTGTTGTGACCATGTCTTTTAGCTTATAGCCTGAATTTGACACCTGATTGTGGCTAAGAGACTTCACTGTCCCAAGAGTTATGATGACATGAAGTTGAATATTAGTGCATGCTATGATTTGAAATTATACAATATATAAAAATAAAAATTATCCCAGAAAGCAATACTTCTGTAACATAACAGTAGTATAATGTTTATATAAATAAATTACACATAAATAGTTCAAATAAGGTACATTTATATTTATTTAACAATGTATAATAAATAACATTATTATTACATTTCAAGTTATCTATACATTATGGCTTCATTAATTCAATACATTACATACTGTTGTTTATTGCTCCTTTTGTAATCACATACTTACAATATTAGTTTAAAAATTAATAATCATTCATTTTTTGTATTTCAACTTTTGAAATGATATAAACTATTCTTTTTAGCCAATACATTATTTATTTTCTTAATAAAAACTAATGAAAGTTTTTGTTAATTTGCTTATTTTTGTCTCTCACCCTCAAGGATGGGAACATCTTTCACGTTGGAAACATTTTGAGCTCAATTCTGGGCACCAAAAGAGAAAAAATGTTCTCTTTTATAACCACACCCCAACAAACACACATTTACCACAATCTTATAGGGCACTACATAGAGGAGTTAATTTGCTCTGTGGACTACTGTGTAGATGCTATACAGCGAGGTAACTTTCAAATGAGATCTTGCACATAAGAAAATTACAATTCATTTATTACACAATATGGAATCACAAATATAAAATATGATTGTGATATGGACAGGAGACAGGGAAATATGGAGAAAAAGAGGATGATTTCCCTGAAGATGCCCTATTCTCAAGCCTGGAAACCCATGACCCTAAATTGGAGCAGGAATTCCTGTTTTTGAACCCAAAAGTTGCCATTTGACCTGCCACACCCGCATATCCTGTACACATATAAACCCTAATCCCTAGACTCCACAAGCAGATGAGCACACAAGCAGATGGTGAGATGAACAGAAGAGTAGAAGAAAGGCGGAACTGCATGTCATTGAGAAGAAAAGGAATGTCTAAATGCCGAGAGGAGTTTGGCTGGGGGCAGTCAGAGAGAAGATGGATGGTCAGGCTTCAGGGGAAAATCATCTTTCCACTCCATCCCCTTTCCAGCTCCCCATCCACCCCACTGAGAGCCACCTCCACCACTCAATAAAACCCTCACATATCATCCTTCAAGTCTGTGTGAGACTCGATTCTTCCTGGACGCTGGAGAAGGACCTGGGTACCAAGAGGTCACTGAACTGGTTAACACTTAAGCTGTCCACAGAGGGCAAGTCTAAAGGAGCACACTGTAACAAATGCCCTCTTGGGCATCATGAGTCACAGGCTCCCACACCTGGACACTGCCATGGTGCTGGAGCCCAGGGGCATTTGCCCCAGTTCCTACACCTGCCCATCTGTGTGCTCCTCCTCCCACAATGGGTGAGTGTGCATGGTGGCCAAACAAATGAGCCACACCGCTGTCACACATCCTGCGACGGGGATTAGGGTTCTCTACCAATTCAATTGTTATTTCTTTCTCATGAGGCATTCATTGTTTTTAATAATCCATGATAGAAAAAGTATTACTTCCAGTCACATGTCATCCAGAATTCTGCTATTGACTCTCTCCAAAGGCAGGTTTGAAGCTTATCTTCCTGGTGTCATCAGCACTAGCAAATACTTTAGGCTTTTTTCCAATTGAAAATTTTGAAAGTCTTTGAACATATCATATGCTTATTATAAGTAAGGGATTGATTATTTTATACTCCATGTGTCTCAGGAAACATTGCATTTTCCTATGGTGAAAATGAGAAAACCATTTGTACTGATATCATTTCACATTTAAATAAACTACATAGTACATGCACCTAAAGCCAGAACATTTGTTTTTCTTTCACTTAGTTTATAAAATTCCACATTTTCTTCCTAATGCGAATTTTCACTCTGGACACACAAAACAATTTAAAACAGAACAAAAAAAAAAATAAAGATTTTTTTTTTTTAAAAAGTAAACTGAAGACCAACTGGATAAGCTTTAAGAACAATAAAATTGTTCCACAAACCATAGCTTAAGACTCACTTTGTCTTATACTCGCAGGCTTTATTAACTTTTTGTCGGATTAACAAAGATCTGTCACTCAAATTCATGAATAGCGTTTCCATGCACATCTTTGCAAATGCACTTAGTGTTTGTAAATGTATTCTTTAGTAGGGTGACACAGAGGAACAATGAGGAATTTTCCTTTTACATTCAATTTATCATCACTTTCATGTTGTGCTGTAGCATCAGATCAGAAGTCACACTCAGTGTCATTTTGCCAATTATGAAATCCAGATGCCAAGATCCAGATTCAATTTTAATGTCTACCTAGAATTTTGGTTGTGATTTAATTTTAGTCATAAATCACTTTTGACCTGTTATAGCAAGTAAAAACATATTTTGATGACTATTACACCTATTTAAAAATCTCAGAAAGTGCTGTGTTTTGAGATGGACTGGCCTTTGCTAAAATTCAAAAGTGCTGGCAGAGCATTAAAATGTAATTCTAAATTTTGTTTAGACAAACAGTATTAGCATTAAGGCTTATTTCTATACTAACAAAAATGAAATAGATTGTTTTATATCATTGGATAATGACGTGTTTGCATTAACATGTTAGAAAATTTTCACCCATTTGTATAATTGACATTTGGCCAGATTTACCCTAAATATGAGGACACAGAAAAGCTACCTGCTGAAAGTTCAAGAATGTGATAGGCAAAAAAAGGACTCCTTAGTATATTATTTAATGATTTATGCATTGCATATGATCAAAATAACAATCTAGTTAAACTTAGTAGCGTGTAATAACATCCCCATGAAAGTAAAGAAACAGCCATGAATTTAAGGCAAAAATAGATGTCTTGAGGTGATACCTAATGCTTTTTATTCACTATCTGTGATTTCAGGATATGTCTTAAGATTTAGAACATAATTTTAAAACCCACATAATTTTCCATTTTTTTCTTTCATTTTTGGTGGAAATGATCTTATGGGAACAATTTTCCTGGACTTAAGTTGATGTAATAAGTTAACAAAATAATTTTAGAACTGAAAATGAGTTTTGGTTTTTGTTCTCATAATGAATGTAATGAACATATATGAAATTCCAATACCTAGCCAAGAGTGGTGGCTCATACCTATAATCCCAGCACTCTTTGAAGCCATTGTGGAAGAATTGCTTGATGCTAGGAGTTCAGACCATCCTGGGCAACATAGCAAGACTCTGTCTCTACAAAAAATGTATTTTAAAAATAGCCAGGCATAGTGGTACTCACTGTAGTCCCATCTTAGGGGGCTGAGACAGGAGGATTGCTTGATCCCATAAGTTCAAGATTACAGTGAGCTATCATCATGTTACTGCACTCCAGCCTGGGCAACAGAGTGAGACCCCATTGCAAATAAATAAATAAATAAATAAATAAATAAATAAATAAATAATTAAATAAAATGTCATACTTTTAGCTACGCTGTATAATAAGCATTTATTTATAGTCATTAAATAAAATTTCACTTTCAAAAATACATTAAATATGAAAGATTTTAACTAAATTGTTATGAGAACTGTGTTTACTCTTTGTGGCCCTCAACTGTATTCCATAATTTATAAACACATTTATTTAATTTATGTAAATATTACATACCATCTCTAGAGGCTAGGATCCATGGGTCAGAAAATATATCAGGTTTAATTACCATTTTAGACTCAGTACGAAGTCATGCCTACCTCATTATAGGTGTTCATAACCACTTGTTTAATGAATGAAGGAATGAATAAAACACACGAAGTCATACTTTCAAAATATGATGATATCATATCCATCTGTGTGTGTGAGTAAGTAAGTATTCACTCAAACTGTAGCAAACCAGTCTGGCTAAAGGAAGGGCACAAGTAGGTACTAGTGAAATATAAGGTCAGAATAGCAAGTTGGGAAACAGTTATGAAGGATTTTGACAGCTGAAAAGTCTGGATATAATATAGTATATTTGAGTAGTTGTACGGATATAAAATATTCATCCACATATTTCCATGTATTATTTATGTATATCTATATATTTAACAAAATAAAAAGATACATATGGTGTGTGTGTATATATATATGTGTATGGCAAATAACATATGTATCTACAAACACCTACCAATTTTAGGAAAACTAAGAAAAGTAACATAATTTATATTTTAAAATTCCAATTAAAGTGCTTTAATAAATAAATTTTATTGTGCTAGATCTATTGTTTTTTCAAACAGTAGATTTCTACTGGCTATTTTTTGCATAATGGGATTCCCAGAAAGAATGCCCCACTGTTCTAGACCAGGCATCCGTACACTTTTTTTCTGTAAAGGGCCAGAGTAAATAATTTAGGCTTTGTGAAACTTAGGTCTCTTGCACAAGTGCGTGATTCTGCTGTTGCAGCATGAAAGCAATCATAGCAACATTTCTGACCAATGAAAGTGAAAAATTAGAATAGCTAGGTTTAGGTAAACTTTAATTCTGGAAACTTGTTGAATGCCACGTGATTGTCATGTGTCACAAAATAACATTTAAAAAACTTTAAAAATTTTCCAACCATTTAAAAACACAAAAAATATTTTTAATTCATAGGCCACACAAAATTCAACATGTGCCACCATCTATTCTATCAATTTATATGCCTAAGACTTGTAATAGATATTATCATGATTAGGTTTATAGCTATTTTCCAACAGACTAAGCTCCCTGAGGGTTGAAAACTTTCTATTAGTAGTTCAGTTCCACATGCAGCAACTAATCAATAAATATATATTAAGTAAATGATTGAAATTGATGAAAAAGCACTCATACTTTAAACCAGGATACATAATTTTTTTTCCACATATTTTTCTCCTGTGCAAAATAATTACGGAAGATTATGGACTACATTTGTAGAGCATTAAGGAGAAATGTTGGCAGTAAGAGTGTTCTATATTCTAACACACTGTCATCCATTTTTAGGGAAAATAGAAAAGAACCTTTTGCATCTGCAAAGGCCTTAATTATATACATCACATATATCATGAAAACATTAAGAAAAGGTGTCTAGATTGTGCAGACTTTCATTAAATTAAGAAATGGGAAATATGGCTTTAGTAGTTCTAGTGATAATAAAATCACACATTTTAAAATTATATCTAAAATTGTAAAGGTCATATGGCTATGTATAAAAAAAGATAAAAGATGTTTATATTCTCTTGCTTTGATACTGCGATTTTGATTACAAAGACATTTTACCTCTATCATTAAGATTCTGTCATTTTGGCTTATCTCTGTACCTAAATCCTTCTGTTTCCTTACTAAGCTTATTTTTGTTCTTTAAAATATAAATAAAAATATTAAGTGTAGCGACACTATTGAAAATCATGTGGTTGGAAATCCTTTTCCTCCAAGAAAGCAATAAATAAACTGACAAAAATAGAATGAACTATTTCATGACTCTATAATCAACAGTTGCAACAACCAGTGGGATACTTACTTAAAGAAGAACAAAGCTGCTGAATTTTGTCAAATAGCGCTGTGGTATTTTAAGTCATCTTGTTACCACCCTCCAATCCCCCCAGCTCAATGGTGGCCTTGAAGACAGTAGCCCACATTTCTGGTGCAGGTTGCAGGTACCAACGGGAACAATACAGACCTTCTTTTTGAAGAATTGCAGTAGTGTTCTGTGACTTGTCTGGTGGTTCCTTGAAGGATTAGCTCAAAGGATTTCCTTTGTTTTATTTACTTTTGATCTTACCCAGAGATGAGGTAGCTTCTCAGGTGACCTTTGTCAGAAATTTAAATGAAAATGAATTAGCTGCTGTTGCCTGAGGCAAGAAGTAATTATTTGGGGAAAAAATAGACAAACAAACCTGGGAAGACAGAGTTTTGGGAAGGAGATACTTGAGAGAATGAAGGCTTTTAAAAGTTCTTGCCTGTTCTGGGAATCCAAGAGGCCAAGCACAGGCCAAGGGCTGAAGACATGCCAGAAAAAAACCTGAGAAAACCTGGAACTATCCTGCTTCAGTTGATCTTTAAGATCTATAAAAGCAGGACGTGAAGGCTAAGGCAGAGTTGTCAATAGGCATGGCTAAACATTACAGAGCTTTAAGTGACCTCAAATGACAATGAATACAGGCTTTAAGACATTAGTTCAGAAATGTCACTTAGCATACAAACAACAACAACAATCCATGAAGAAGGTGGAGAATATAATTTTCAAAGTCGCCACTTTAAAATATTAAAAATATCCAGCTTTTAAAAAATCAGTGATATATGCAAGGGAACAAGAATGTGTTGTCCATTCAAAGAGGAAATAAATTAATAGAAACTGTGCCAGAGGAAGAACAGATATTAGACTTCCCAGATGAAGACTTTAAATCAAATGTTTAATTTATGCCAAAAATGTTACCAGTAGTTAGATGGGCACGATCAGGGCAAGAGAGGGTTCCCTCTCAACCAACCTGCCAGGAATGTCAAGCGATCTGGTGATGGTTCAACAATTGTTGCTTTGCCTCTCTAAAAATGATAATTTGGTAGCCTGCACCAGGGAGAGACAATCGCCTGCTGATCCACAGCTGTTAATATTAAAATGTTAATTGAATGCAGGCTCCAGGGAGAAACAGAAAGGGCTTCCAGTAAAATCTCAGGTATTGGTTGAGTGAGCCTGGGCATGCACATTAAGAGAAAAAATGATGAACTATGAGCTTTTCTGGGCACTCCACCTGAAAAGGGAAGAAAGCCTTAGATGGATATGAATATGACTTCCTAAACATGCTGCCAGTGCTCACTTGGCAATGATAAGGAGGGCACTGTGTATGTGGGCAGCTCCCCATAAGGGAAGAATCATGAGAAAGGAGCACAAGATGCCAGAGGTGAACCAGCCTACAAAGTCCTAGAATCAAGGTTAAACATTGCATTTGTTCTTCAGGTTTCCTGGTTGGGTTTCTTCCCAGAGTACCTTCCTTTCTTTCCTGTTTTATAGCTTTTTAATAAACTCCCATTCATGCTCTGAAACTTACCTCAGTTTCTTTTTCTGTTTCATGCTCTTCAGTCAAATTCTTTCTTCTGAAGAGGCAAGAATTGAGGCTGCTGCAGATCCATATGGATTCACCACTGGTAACTAGAACACCTTCCACCAGTAACAAAATAACTAAAGAAAGCCATGGACAAAATACACACATACACACACGCAAAACAAGTAAAAAATAAAACAAGAGAAAAATGTCTTACCAAGTAAAAATTATCAGTAAATTTAACAAAGAGAGAAATAATTAAAAGGAGGAGCTGGTCATGGCAGTTTATTCCTGTAATCCCAGAAACTTGAGAGGCTGAGGTGGGAGAATAGCTTGAGCTCAGGAGCCCAAGGCTGCAATGAGCTATGATTGTGCCACTGCACTCCAGCATGGGTGATGGAACAAGGCTCCATCTCAAAAATATATATATACAAATAAAATATTAAAACACAAGGAGACATAAAGAACACTCCTCTACACAACAAGGGAATAGACATTCTTTTCAAATGTAAACGGAATGTCCTCCATGACAGACCATATTTTAGGTCACAATGCAATTCTCAACAATTTCAAAACTGATTATAAAATTTTTATGCACTTATAAGAGATCAGATCAAAGTATCATTTCTAACCACATGAAATGCAACTAGAAATCAAAAACAAAAAAATTGAAAATTTTATCATTATGTAAAAAAAGAAAATATATTCTTAAACAACTACGAGCTCAAAGAAGAAATAACAAGAGTAAATGTTTTGGGACAAATTAACACAAAAACACAACATACTTTAAGTTATAAAACGTAGCAAAAGTGAGGATTAGAGGAAAATATATAGCTGTAATGAATACATAAAACAAAAAATTCTAAAATCAATAAACTAATTTTATACCTAAAATTATATAAAAAGAAGAGCAAATTAAATCCAGTTAGGAAAACGAAGGAAACAATAAAGATTACAGCCGAGATAAATAACAAAATAATCAACAAAACAAAGTTTGTACTTGAGGAAATCAACAAAATTGACAATCTTTAGTTAGACTAATCAAGAAAAAAAGAGAGAAGACTAAAATTACTAAAATCTAAAATGAAAATGTGGTAATATGATAAATATTACAGGATTAAAAAGAATTATTATTATTACTATTATTATTTTTATGAGACATAGTCTTACTCTGTCACCCTGTCTGGAGTGCAGTGGCACAATCTCAACTCACTGCAACCTCCACCTTCCAGACTCAAGCAATTTTCGTGCCTCAGCCTCTGGGTAGCTGGGATTACAGGTGTGCACCACCATGCCCAGCTACATTTTTTGTGTATTTAGTAGAGACATGGTTTCATCAGGTTGGCCAGGTTGGTCTTGAACTCCTAGTGATCCACCAACCTCAGTCTCCCAAAATGCTGGGATTGTAGGTGTGAGCCACCGTGACTGGCCAGGAATTAAAATAATAATCACAGAAAAGTATGAACAATGTTTTATTACAGTATGAACTACCCTATATAAAATGTGCAACTTCATAGAAATATACAAATTACCTTTTATAGACTGAATTGTGTTCCCCAAAAATTTATATGCTAATCCCTAACCCTAATATGTCCTTATTTGGAGATGAAGTCTTAAGAAAATAATTAAGGTTAAATAAAGTTATAAGGGTGAGCTCTGATCCAATGTCACTAGTGTCCTTAAAAAGGAGAAAACAGATACCAAAGAGATACCTTCTCTCCCTCTCTCCCTTTCTTCTCATACATGCATCAAGGAAAAGCCATATGAGGACACAGTGAGAAGATAACTATCTGAAATCTAGAAAGAGAAACTTATTCTGGGACTTCCAGTTCCAGTTAAAACATAAATTTCTGTCTTCTAAGCAACCAAGCCTCTGATATTTTCTTATGGAAGCACAATCAGACTGTTATGGTTTAGCTCTGTGTCCCCATCCAAATCTCATCTTGAATTGTAATCCCTATGTGTCAAGGGAGCAACCTGGTGGGAGGTAATTGGATCATGGGGGCTCTTTTTCCCATGCTGTTCTCATGATAGTCAGTGAGTCTCATGAGACTCATGAGGTCTGATGGTTTTATAAGTGGCAGTTTTCCTGTGCTCCCACTTCACTTGTCACCTGCTGCCATGTAAGCTGCCATGTAATCTGTGCCTGCTTCCCCTTCTGCTATGATTGTAAATTTCTTGAGGTCTCCCCCAGCCACGCAGAACTGTGAGTCAATTAAACCTCTTTTGTTTATAAATTACCCAGTCTTGGGCAGTTCTTTGTAGCAGTGTAGAAATGGACCAATATAGTAAATTGGAACTGCAGTGAATGGGTTACGGCTATAAAGACACTTGAAAATGTGGAAGCAACTTTGGAACTGGGTAACAGAAAGAAGCTGGAACAGTTTGGAGGGCTCAGAAGACAGGGAAATGTGAGAATGTTGGGAACTTCCTAGATAATTGATAGATGGTTTTGGCCAAAATGATGACAGTGATATGGATAATGAAGTCTGGCTGAGGTGGTTTCAGATGGAGATGAGGAACCTATTGGGAACTGGAGCTAAGGTCACTCTTGCTTTAACAAAGAGACTGGTGACATTTTGTCCCTGCCTTAGAGCTCTATGGGACTCTGAACTTGAGAGAGATGATCTGATATTGGAGCTTATGTTTAAAAGGTAAGCGGAACATAAAAGTTTGGAAAATTTGCAGCCTGACAATGCAATAGAAAAGAAAAACCCATTTTCTGAGGAGAAATTCAAGCCATCTGCATAAATTTGCATAGGTCATTACCTATGCAGAAATGTTTAGGTAACATTAGGAGCCAAATGTTAATAGCCAAGACAATGGGGAAAATGTCTCCAGGGCATGTTAGAGACCTTCACAGCAGCACCTCCCATCACAGACCTAGAGAGCTAGGAGGAACAAATGGTTTCCTGGGCTGGGCCCATAACCTCGCTGTAACCAGCTCCAGCCAGCACTAAAAAGAGCTAGACACAGCTTTGGCCACGGCTTCAAAGGATGCAAGTGCCACGACTTGGTAGCTTACATTTGGTGTTGGGTCTGTAGGTGCACAGAAGTCAAGAACTAAAGTTTGGGAACCTCCACCTAGATTTTAGAGGATGTACAGAAACTCCTGAATGTCCAGGCAGAAATCTTCTGCAGGAATGGAGCCCTATTTGAGAATCTCTGCTAGGGCACTACAGAAGGGAAATGTGAGGTTGGACCTTCACACAGAATCCACACTAAGGCACTAGTTGAAGCTGTGAGAACAGAGTGAAGCTGTGAGAAGACAGCCACCATCTTCCAGACTGCAGAATGGTGGAACCACTGAGAACTTGCACTGTGTACCTGGAAAAGCCAAAGATACTCAGTGCCAGCCTGTGAAAGAAGCTGGGAGTGGGACTGTACCCTGCATAGCCACAGAGGCAGAGTAACCCAAGGCTGTGGGAACCCACCTCTTGCATCAGCTTGCCCTTGACATGAATTCAAAGGAGATTATTTTGGAGCTTTAAGATTTAATAACTGCCCAGCTGGATTTTGGACTTGCATGGAGCCTGTAGTCCCTTTGTTTTGTACAATTTCACTCATTTGGAATGGGAGCATTTATTTAATGCCTCCTACATCCATTGTATCTTGGAAGAAATTGACTTGCTTTTGATTTTACCAGCTCATAGGTAAAAAGGGACCTGTCTTGTCTCAGATGAGGCTTTGGACTGTGGACTTTTGAGTTAATGCTGAAATGAGTTAAAGCTTTGGGGAACTGTTGTGAAAAGGTGATTGGTCTTGAAATGTGAGGACATGATATTTGGGAGGGGTCAGGGGTTGATTTGGCTCTGTGTCCCCACTGGAATCTCATCCTGAATTGTAATATCCACGTCTCAAGGGTGCAACCTGGTGGGAGATAATTGGATCATGGGGCAGTTTCACCTATGCTGTTTTTGTGATAGTGAGTGAGTCTCACAAGATGCCATGGTTTTAAAAGTGGCAGTTTTTTCCTGTGCTCTCACTTCACTTCTAGCCTGCTGCCACGTAAGACATGCCAGCTTCTTTTTCTGCCAAGATTGTAAGTTTCCAGCCATGTGGAACTGTGAATCAATTAAACCTCTTTTCTTTATCAATTACCTAGTCTTGCATGCTTCTTTATAGCAGTGTGGAAACAGCCTAATACATAGACTAATACATGACAAACAGTGACTCCAGAAATTTATAAAAATCTGAATAGACCTATAACAAGTAAAATGATGGAATCAGTAATCAAATACTTCTTAATGAAGAAAACTTCAAGACTAGATGCCTTCACTGGTAAATTTTACCAAACATAAAGAATATTCAATACCAATCTTTTTCAAACTCATGAAAAAGAGGTTGTAATACTTTCTAGATCACCTTATAAGGTCAGAATTACACTGTTTCTAAAGCTAGACAAATATATCACAGAAAAGAAACTACAGACTAATATATCTTGTCAAAATAGATGAAAAATTTTTCAACAAAATACAAACAACCCAAATTAAGTATAATATTAATAGAATTATATGCTACAAACAAGTGAAGTTTAGACCAGGAAGGCAATAGTGGTTTAATATATACAAATCAACCAGTGTAATATACCACATTAATTAAATAAAAGACAATCAAAACACAAAATGTCAAGTGATACAGAAGTTTCATGATAGCTTAGAAATAAAAGTGAATTTTCTCCACAGAAAAAATAGTTTTATGAAAATTCTCAGAAACATCACACTTAATGGTGAAACACTAAAAGCTTTCTTTCTGTGACCAGGAACCATATAAAGATGCCTATTTTTTGCAGCTTTTATTTAATATTTTCTGGGCGGTTTAATCAAAGCAGTTAGGCAAGAAAAATAAACTAAAATCAGGAAGTAAAACTATCTCTGTAGATAATTTGATCTTCTATGTACAGTATACTTAAACATCCATAAGGAAATTTACTAGAGACACTAAATAAGTATAGCAAAGTTGCAAGATACATTATCAACACATAAAACGTTGTATTTATATACATTACCAAATAACAAAGCACAAGGAAAATTAAGTAAACAATATATTTACAATATCAAAAAACAAATTATTTACAATGATATCAAAACATAAAATATTTACAATGATATCAAAACACAAAATAAATATAACCAAGGATATCCAAGATTTGAACAATGAAAACAACAAACCATTGCTGAAAAAAGTTAAAGAATATCTATATAAATGCCAAGATGTACCATGTTCATGGACTGGACACCTTAATATTGTTAAAATGGCAATATTCCCAAAGTGATCTACAGATTTAGTGCAAACTCTGTTAAAATTCAACTGCTTTTTAAAATTTAGAAAAGGAAAATCTGATTCTAATATTCACATATAATTTCAAAAGATCTGAAAATCCAAAACAAACTTGAAAAAAAACACTGACACTTCACAATCAGTAAATTGGGAGAGATATAGTAGTTGAAGATAGACAATTGTTTATATGTATATTTCAGTTACAACTCAAAACAAAAAAGCAAAAAGATAAATTACCTGTTATGGGTTGAATTATGCACCCAAAAATTTACATGTTGAAGCCTACCCCTAGTATTTCAGAATGTGACCTTATTAAAAATAGAGTGGATATAGATGTTATCAGTTAAGATGAGATCATACTGGAGTATGCTGGGTCCCTAAACCAATGTGATTGGTGTCCTTGTAAAAACAGGGAAATTTTGACCCAGATACACACACACAAGAAGAACAGCATCTAAATATAAAAGCAGAGTACAAAAAAGATTAAAAAAGAATCAACAAGACCTACTATTTGGTAGCACAATAGGGTAACTATAGCCAATAATAGCTATATGTTTTTAAAATAACTTAAAGAATGTAATTGAATTATTTGTAACTCAAATGAAAAATGCTTGAGGGGATGGATACCCATTCTCCATGATGTGCTTATTTCACATATTATGGAGTACAAAACATCTCATGTACCCCATAAATATATACAACTACTATGTAGCCAGAAAAATTTAAAAAAATTAAAAAAAAAATAAAACCAGAAAAGTATATAAAGGCAGAGATTGTGGCAATGCATCTACAAATCAAGGTGAGAAGTCTGGGATAAATATTTTTCTACTATCCCTTAGAAGAAAACCGCCTTCCAACACCTTGATTTCAGACTTCTAGCCAGCAAAACTGTGAGACAATACATTTATGCTGTTTAAGCTACTTACTATTTTGTTATGGCAGTCCTGTCAAACTAATATACTTAAAAATTAAACATTTGCAAAAACTTAGACATTTTATCAACAAAGAAAAATAAATGGCCAATACACATGTAAAAAGGTCAACATCACTAGTCATTAGAAAAATGTGAATCAAAATCACAATAATATACTACATCTCATGGATGGGCATAATTTTTAAAAGTAGAGGAATTTAAACCCTCACACATTGCTAGTGGGAATGCAAAGCGTTATAGCCACTATGAAAAATAGCTTGGCAGCTCCTCAAAAGGTTAAACATAGAATTACATGTGGCCAAACAATTTTATCTCTAGTATATACCCCGCAAAAGAGAAAATAAGTGTTCAAACAAAAACATCATAATCATAAAAGCACTATTTCCAATAGCTAAAATGGCAAAATGCATAAACAACAAAAAAGTTTATCAAATAATGAATGGATAAACAAAATTGTATCTATATACAACAGAATATTATTCAGTCATAAAAAGAAATAAAGTGCTGATACTTGCTACAACATGGATTATCATTGAAAACATTATGCTAAGTGAAGATAGCCTGACACGAAAGATCATATATTGCATAATTATCCATAAGAGGCAAATCTATAAAGTTAGAAAGCAGATCAGTAATTTTCAGGGGCTGAAGGGAGAGAAAAATGGGAAATGATGCTTAAAGGGTAAAGGGCTTCTTTTTGAGATAATGTAAACGTCCTAAAACTGCAGAGTGGTGATAGTTGCACAACATTGTAAATGTATTAAATACTACCAAATTGTACTTTCTAACATGGTTAAAGTGATAAATTTTTCCACATAAATTTTAGCCTAAAGGAAGAAAATTACTAAAAGATAAGTGTTTACTTTGTAGTGATAATGAATTTACAAGGAAAAATGATGGACAGAATAGTAAGGCTTTACAGTGAATTTATAAAACACGTACATGGAATTATAATGAATTTGTAAAAAAAATTACAAAGAATAAATTGAACATTTTAATATCTGTAATAGCAGAAATATTCAATGGCACTTTGCTGGCAATATTAAA